>NC_000011.10:99596667-99899697 GCF_000001405.40 Homo sapiens
ACATATTTGTTCCGATTGAATTATTTGTGTTGGCAGATAGCCAATTCTCTTTTCAGAATTCCACTACTGGAATACTTGAAGTTGAATGAAATATAAAGCAACTTCTGTTTGCCAGGCTATAAAACTAAAGATGTCCATCAGGCCAAAGGATTCAAAACTTTATAAATAGACAATAATAATCGCAATAAATTATATTGGGTTGAAATAGGCATACATATAAAACTAATATGCTTGAAAAATGATGACCTGTTCTGGTATTATTATTATTAATCCTGTTATACATGGGAAGTTTTCTTCAATCAATGATTAGCAAGAAAAATGATCAGCACTTAGTTTTTGAGATAAGTTTTCTTTATACATCTAATTTTTTAGAAGCTATACATAGTATTCATTTTCAGATCTCAACTTCTTGATGCGTTAGAGTTAGGAAATGGTTTCTGATCCAGAAGACTCTCCTACTGTTGTAAGAGGATATATTAAACAATACCAATCATATGATTCATTTGAGTAACAAATATAATTGAATATTTAGCATCAGATATAAGCAAATATAAAGCTGGAGTCTCACGGAATGTTCTTGGTTCTGAAGCCTCAGCATGCCTCACCCCTGTAGCAAGTCGTCTACAAGTGATTCTATCCCAATTAGTTAAATTCAGTCCACCTTTGTATGCTTTCAATTCCTTCAGGTTTGAGTAGTCTCTAGTAGAATAGAGGTAGGAAAATTAAGCTATTTTGAATTCTTCTCCTTCCTATTGCACGTTCTAAACTCCCAAAATATTTCAAGCCCGTCCAAAGAGTAGTGAGGGGAGCTTGGAAGGAGTGGAAACTCTATTTATGTTTAAGACTGAAAAAAAAAAATATAGGTTGTTTGTTTAGTGTGTGCTCAGTTATCTACTGGCTCTGACTGTCAGGGTTTTTACCCAGCCTGTTTTCCGGTACTGGTTATATCTAGCTGTTTAATTTTAGGTCCTCTGCTTTCTCAGATATCTTATACTAACTCTTTTGTGTTATTATAAGACTAACTTGTGGCACATTAAGTGTTCCTCCAGTGCCCAGCTGGCCACACACTCCATAACCTCAGGGTACCAAGAATTCTACAGAGAAATGATTACTTCTACCTCACATTTTCAATGAGTAATCACCCCACAGCTTTCTCCGGTATTTTTCACTTCTGGATGCCTTCTTGGTGTGGGGCCATGGAAGTGGCAAGCTTATGAATGCCATAGCATCTCCTTGGTTCCTTGGGTGTGTGGGAAGCCCAGGGATTCCTTCCCAGGTTGCATCAGCTACGCAGAAATAGTAAGCCCTCATTGACACCTTCCTTCTTGTAATACCACTCTGTCATCTCTTTTTGGCATTTACCACAATTCTGAGCCATTAGGATGTGTCTAGAGATTCTGTTGATTGGAAAATTCCATGTAGGGAATATGATACCAGTTTCCTTCACTTGCAAATATTCCTACATATTGTGGGGAGGTATGTCAAGAATAACAATTTTTGCTCCCTAAAACTGTATCCATGCTACCCCCATTCCTCAGGCGGGAACCTTTTCTTCCTTCCTCCCTTCTTTCCTTCCTTTTTCTTAGCTTTCCTTTTCTTTTCTTTTCTTTTCTTTTCTTTTCTTTTCTTTTCTTTTCTTTTCTTTTCTTTTCTTTTCTGTCCCTCTCTCTCTCTCTCTCTCTCTCTCTCTCTCTCTCTCTCTCTCTCCCTCTCTCTCTCTGTCTCCTTCCTTCCCTCCCTCTCTCCCTCCCTTCCTTCCTCCCTCCCTCCCTCCCTTCCTTCCTTCCTTCCTTTTTCCCTTCCTTCTTTCCTTCCCTTCTTCCTTCCTTTCTTTGTCTCTTTGTCCCTTTCTTTCATGGCAGAAGCCTTTTGCCTCCTTAATATCTTAAGGGAGATTTTTGAAGTTTGCCCTTTGGAAAGGTACTTCTTTTTAATTTAGGATTAAAAAGATAGCTTTTTTTTTTTTCTCATATGTGACCTAACAGTCCAGCACTTCCAGTTTAGCACTCAGATGGGAAGGTGCCAGTGATAGCTGAGGGAAGCAGGAAAGGGCATATGTAGGTGATATTTCACATCATCACATTATATTTGGCCATAAACTTTTGCTAATATTACTGTGGAACTTTAGGACTTTTACAGTAGGGAATAATTTATATTTTAATATGCAGGAAAAACACCATTTTTCCTGACAAGCAATGACATATTTCATTTTAATCTATGATAAATGTTAGTTAAAGTCAATTTAAAAAATACTGTAAAGCTCAAAATTATGCCTATGATATATATGTCTTTAATAATGTCTTTTATTAATGAGATAAGATTAGGAGAATTTGATATGAGAGCTAACATTTAAGAAAATCAAAATTATGAGTCATAGTTTCACTTTTTAAAGTTGATTTTTGAAATAATGTAGATACATGGTTAATTGATTTTAAAGCAGTGAAATATTGTATCCTCATAATATACACTGTGTCTAAAAACTACCTGTAAATCTCAATTTGTTACTTGGAGGTGTTTTTTTTTTAACATAAAATAAGATATCTACATTCTGAGGCATTGAGGAAATTGGATTTTATAAAATAACTACAATAACCCTTTTAAGTTGTTTTTTTGAAAATGTCTCCACCTTTCATAGGTTGCTTATTGACACATAGCTTGAGAAGAGAACGATTTTCTGAGAGATTTTTTTAACATTGATTTAGCCATTTAGAAATGGATTTTAACTTGTTATTGATTTGTGTATTATTTTACATATTATATCTGTAAGATTTTATAAGAAATCAAACATCCTTTAAGATGCCAGTTGCCTGCTAAGTTACTTGTCATTTTGATAATATTTCGGTGTTATTTCCAAATAGTGTTCTATGTTGAAGGGCACAGATGTTATTACATTATGTATTTTAAAGTAAAGTGAGTTATACTAATTATATGTAAAACATTTTATCACATATTAATCTCCCTTCCTCCTGATATACCAAGGTTAATATGTTCACATCCAGACCAAATTCTTTGTGCAAATGTTCCTCAAAATCTTTGGGTGGCCATCATCAATGCATCAATGACATAATAAGAATTTATTGAATGTTTACAACATATTGAATGGTGTATTATTTGATTTATTAGGCACAGACACTTTGTCAGAAGTTTAAAATCCATATAGGAAAATGACAGATTTACAAAAAGACATTTAAAAGTCAATAAAACTAGATCATTAATATTTAATATATTATACATAAAAGCTATAGGAATGTGGAGAAAGGAAACCAAATGGGGTCATCTACTTTAAAAGTAAAGAGAAAAAAACCTTTCCTGATGACGGCAGGACTGAAGTTGACTTTTAAGAACTGATACGAGGATGAAGAGAAATGAGTTTAAGGGTACAAACAAGGGAGGAGGAATAAACTCAGTCGTTGATAGCAGAGTAAAATGGCTACACTTAACAAAAATGTGCTGTACACTTAACAAAAATGTGCTGTGATGGACACCCTGAGTACCCTGATTTTTTAATCACTATGCATTTTATACCTGTAACAAAATTCCTCATGTACTCCATAAATTTGCACAAATGAAGAAAAAAACTGACATGTAAATATATTTTCTCTAATTTTAAACCTAGTAACCAATTACTTGCTATGTGAGCAATATAAGACCAGCGTAGAAGGTTCATGTTCCCTGCTGAAATAGGATGTTGTGAGCTAATGCAACTTACATAAAAATTAATGTGACACATTTAATTATTTGCATAATGATTATTTTACCTCATGTTAATTAGGTATAAATTGTAATGGGTAAGGGAAAGGCCAAGGACTAACTTTGCCCACTTCAGCTGTTGCCTGAGTACATCTAGGCTAAGAATACGGTCACCCTCAATTCATCCCAGCTTCCCAGGGCAAACTGCCTCTCCTTACCCCTAGGATAAGTGTTGGACTCCGGAGGATTGGGGTACTGTTCTCTGAAGTTCTCAGCCAGCCCTCTACAACTATAATACCAGCTCAATAGGAAGATGGGTAGAAGCCAGTTTTTTCAAACAATTTTTATACAAGGTTATCCACCAGTGTTGGAGCACCTAAATGAGGAATTTTAGCTTCTCCTTTCTTTTTTTCACCTTTACATATTAAAGGAGAAAATATTCTGTTTACCATGGAAATGAAAAATAAATAAACACATAGGATGACATTTTCAAGAAGCTCAAAGGTATTTTGGGTCCAGTTGATCATTGTTAATTTCTAAGCATCTCTTCACTGAATTTCGTTGACACTGAACTTCTACTGTATCAAGCAGCATTTATATCTACTGCAAATGTAATTGGCTTAGGACCCTTCTCTCCTTGTTTTGTCTTAAATATTTATTTACTTTTTGTGTTTGTTTGTCTCTCCTACTAAACAACAAGGATCACATATACCTTATTTCCCTTTTTATCTCCAAAGTTTGGCACTTGGAAGGTTTTTAATAAGTATTTGTTAAATAAATTTCTGATTTCATCTGCCATCTCTCTATAAATTATTTCCAAATTACAACAAATGTGACTTTATTTAATCTTTACTCAAGATGTTGAAAGTGGAACTCATTGCTTCTTACATTTTCTACTTTATAACCTCAAAAAATATAGTCCTTTCTGAGGGTTCTGTCTTCCCTTCTAAGTCCACTTAGTAAATCATCAAACTTTGTTTTCTTTCCTTCGGGCTGTCTTGGTAAACCTCTTTTTCTTTCTACCTGCTAGTCCTAGCAGTTACCACTTCCTGTCAATATTTGTCATCCCTCAAGCCTCTTCTAAACATTAATAATAGAAAAGATCCTTAAATCACACCTTCTAAACTTTGCCTAGAAATATCCCTTGAGAGTAAGAAAATAATCTAAATTAACTTGATATTCAAAGTACTCCACAGGGATTTCCACCACAACCTCCTCAAATTCATTATACATAAACTTTTTGACAAAGCAAACTTTACTAAACAACGAATTTGTATTTCTCCTTCTTTGGTGACACCACACCCTAAAATTTTTCTTTCCTTAATTCTCATCCTGCTCTGAGACTAATCAATCCCACCTCATCTCTGTTCTCCAACGCCCAGTAGGATACTGGCTTCCTCTTTAAATTCTGTGCTGCCTGCTTTCTGAGCCAGCCACCTGGCAACTAGCCATAAAAGACTGTGTATGCTTTTTTACATTTAGAGGTATATGTCACACTTCTGCACATAAAGTTACTTTGCTCAATAGTAGAGAGTATGCCATATACCTTTTTAATCATATCACTTTACACACTAGCTTATATCTACAAAATGCATAACCATTTTACCTATATACTATATATACCTATATACCTATATATACCTACATACTAACAAATGTTTTAAATATTACATATACAGAGATATGCATACATATATAATAACTGTGTTATAGAAATTCCAAATTCATCAGATAAAGTACAAGTTCTTAAGAATCTAATAATAGATACAAATCATGTAGATTACTGAAGAGGTGCAGACAAAATAGTTACCATGAGATAGAGACACACTTTTATACGAATATATATTATGTATACATAATATTTGTGGGGGATATAATTTTGTATATTAACTTCTAGTTTCTATCTTGATTATTTACTTTATTGAATAATAATAATAAGAAACATATTTTTGATGGAGAATAGAAATAGATTTAGTTAGTAGAAATAGTACTTGTTAACTTAGTGAATTCAGAGGAGATATTAAAGAGGAAAGCGCAGTGTTTACATTCATATGAACTCAAGTGTTAGGTGAGCCAAGAACACAGCAGAAGAGCCAATAAAAGGAGCAAAAGGTTCATTGACAATTGTATTGATCAGGCACATTTCTGGCTACTTCAATTGAGAGCACTACCCATATATTAATATAGTTATAATAAAAAACACATACAAATGAACTGTGGCCATTTAAGGAAAACAACACATGGTTTGGCTCCCACTACTTTATGGGAAGGTCTGGGGAGGAGTTTGTGCAATGTAAAAAAAAAAAAATGTATCAAAAATCACAGTGTTGAAGTGTCCCTGTCTGACAGCTTTGAAGAGAGCAGTGGTTCTCCCAGCACGCAGCTGGAGATCTGAGAACGGGCAGACTGCCTCCTCAAGTGGGTCCCTGACCCCTGACCCCCGAGCAGCCTAACTGGGAGGCACCCCCCAGCAGGGGCACACTGACACCTCACATGGCAGGGTATTCCAACAGACCTGCAGCTGAGGGTCCTGTCTGTTAGAAGGAAAACTAACAACCAGAAAGGACATCTACACCGAAAACCCATCTGTACATCACCATCATCAAAGACCAAAAGTAGATAAAACCACAAAGATGGGGAAAAAACAGAACAGAAAAACTGGAAACTCTAAAACGCAGAGCGCCTCTCCTCCTCCAAAGGAATGCAGTTCCTCACCAGCAACAGAACAAAGCTGGATGGAGAATGATTTTGACGAGCTGAGAGAAGAAGGCTTCAGACGATCAAATTACTCTGAGCTACGGGAGGACATTCAAACCAAAGGCAAAGAAGTTGAAAACTTTGAAAAAAATTTAGAAGAATGTATAACTAGAATAACCAATACAGAGAAGTGCTTAAAGGAGCTGATGGAGCAGAAAACCAAGGCTCGAGAACTACGTGAAGAATGCAGAAGCCTCAGGAGCCGATGCGATCAACTGGAAGAAAGGGTATCAGCAATGGAAGATGAAATGAATGAAATGAAGCGAGAAGGGAAGTTTAGAGAAAAAAGAATAAAAAGAAATGAGCAAAGCCTCCAAGAAATATGGGACTATGTGAAAAGACCAAATCTACGTCTGATTGGTGTACCTGAAAGTGATGTGGAGAATGGAACCAAGTTGGAAAACACTCTGCAGGATATTATCCAGGAGAACTTCCCCGATCTAGCAAGGCAGGCCAACGTTCAGATTCAGGAAATACAGAGAACGCCACAAAGATACTCCTCGAGAAGAGCAACTCCAAGACACATAATTGTCAGATTCACCAAAGTTGAAATGAAGGAAAAAATGTTAAGGGCAGCCAGAGAGAAAGGTCGGGTTACCCTCAAAGGAAAGCCCATCAGACTAACAGCGGATCTCTCAGCAGAAACCCTACAAGCCAGAAGAGAGTGGGGGCCAATATTCAACATTCTTAAAGAAAAGAATTTTCAACCCAGAATTTCATATCCAGCCAAACTAAGCTTCATAAGTGAAGGAGAAATAAAATACTTTATAGACAAGCAAATGCTGAGAGATTTTGTCACCACCAGGCCTGCCCTAAAAGAGCTCCTGAAGGAAGCGCTAAACATGGAAAGGAACAACCGGTACCAGCCGCTGCAAAATCATGCCAAAATGTAAAGACCATCGAGACTAGGAAGAAACTGCATCAACTAATGAGCAAAATCACCAGCTAACATCATAATGACAGGATCAAATTCACACATAACAATATTAACTTTAAATATAAATGGACTAAATTCTGCAATTAAAAGACACAGACTGGCAAGTTGGATAAAGAGTCAAGACCCATCAGTGTGCTGTATTCAGGAAACCCATCTCACGTGCAGAGACACACATAGGCTCAAAATAAAAGGATGGAGGAAGATCTACCAAGCAAATGGAAAACAAAAAAAGGCAGGAGTTGCAATCCTAGTCTCTGATAAAACAGACTTTAAACCAACAAAGATCAAAAGAGACAAAGAAGGCCATTACATAATGGTAAAGGGATCAATTCAACAAGAGGAGCTAACTATCCTAAATATTTATGCACCCAATACAGGAGCACCCAGATTCATAAAGCAAGTCCTGAGTGACCTACAAAGAGACTTAGACTCCCACACATTAATAATGGGAGACTTTAACACCCCACTGTCAACATTAGACAGATCAACGAGACAGAAAGTCAACAAGGATACCCAGGAATTGAACTCAGCTCTGCACCAAGCAGACCTAATAGACATCTACAGAACTCTCCACCCCAAATCAACAGAATATACATTTTTTTCAGCACCACACCACACCTATTCCAAAATTGACCACATAGTTGGAAGTAAAGCTCTCCTCAGCAAATGTAAAAGAACAGAAATTATAACAAACTATCTCTCAGACCACAGTGCAATCAAACTAGAACTCAGGATTAAGAATCTCACTCAAAGCCGCTCAACTACATGGAAACTGAACAACCTGCTCCTGAATGACTACTGGGTACATAACGAAATGAAGGCAGAAATAAAGATGTTCTTTGAAACCAACGAGAACAAAGACACCACATACCAGAATCTCTGGGACGCATTCAAAGCAGTATGTAGAGGGAAATTTATAGCACTAAATGCCTACAAGAGAAAGCAGGAAAGATCCAAAATTGACACCCTAACATCACAATTAAAAGAACTAGAAAAGCAAGAGCAAACACATTCAAAAGCTAGCAGAAGGCAAGAAATAACTAAAATCAGAGCAGAACTGAAGGAAATAGAGACACAAAAAACCCTTCAAAAAATCAATGAATCCAGGAGCTGGTTTTTTGAAAGGATCAACAAAATTGATAGACCGCTAGCAAGACTAATAAAGAAAAAAAGAAGAATCAAATAGACACAATAAAAAATGATAAAGGGGATATCACCACCGATCCCACAGAAATACAAACTACCATCAGAGAATACTACAAACACCTCTACGCAAATAAACTAGAAAATCTAGAAGAAATGGATACATTCCTCGACACATACACTCTCCCAAGACTAAACCAGGAAGAAGTTGAATCTCTGAATAGACCAATAACAGTCTCTGAAATTGTGGCAATAATCAATAGTTTACCAACCAAAAAGAGTCCAGGACCAGATGGATTCACAGCCGAATTCTACCAGAGGTACAAGGAGGAACTGGTACCATTCCTTCTGAAACTATTCCAATCAATAGAAAAAGAGGGAATCCTCCCTAACTCATTTTATGAGGCCAGCATCATTCTGATACCAAAGCCGGGCAGAGACACAACCAAAAAAGAGAATTTTAGACCAATATCCTTGATGAACATTGATGCAAAAATCCTCAATAAAATACTGGCAAACCGAATCCAGCAGCACATCAAAAAGCTTATCCACCATGATCAAGTGGGCTTCATCCCTGGGATGCAAGGCTGGTTCAATATACACAAATCAATAAATGTAATCCAGCATATAAACAGAGCCAAAGACAAAAACCACATGATTATCTCAATAGATGCAGAAAAAGCCTTTGACAAAATTCAACAACCCTTCATGCTAAAAACTCTCAATAAATTAGGTATTGATGGGACGTATTTCAAAATAATAAGAGCTATCTATGACAAACCCACAGCCAATATCATACTGAATGGGCAAAAACTGGAAGCATTCCCTTTGAAAACTAGCACAAGACAGGGATGCCCTCTCTCACCGCTCCTATTCAACATAGTGTTGGAAGTTCTGGCCAGGGCAATCAGGCAGGAGAAGGAAATAAAGGGTATTCAATTAGGAAAAGAGGAAGTCAAATTGTCCCTGTTTGCAGACGACATGATTGTTTATCTAGAAAACCCCATCGTCTCAGCCCAAAATCTCCTTAAGCTGATAAGCAACTTCAGCAAAGTCTCAGGATACAAAATCAATGTGCAAAAATCACAAGCATTCTTATACACCAACAACAGACAAACAGAGAGCCAAATCATGGGTGAACTCCCATTCACAATTGCTTCAAAGAGAATAAAATACCTAGGAATCCAACTTACAAGGGATGTGAAGGACCTCTTCAAGGAGAACTACAAACCACTGCTCAAGGAAATTAAAGAGGACACAAACAAATGGAAGAACATTCCATGCTCATGGGTAGGAAGAATCAATATCGTGAAAATGGCCATACTGCCCAAGGTAATTTACAGATTCAATGCCATCCCCATCAAGCTACCAATGACTTTCTTCAAAGAATTGGAAAAAACTACTTTAAAGTTCATATGGAACCAAAAAAGAGCCCGCATCACCAAGTCAATCCTAAGCCAAAAGATCAAAGCTGGAGACATCACACTACCTGACTTCAAACTATACTACAAGGCTACAGTAACCAAAACAGCATGTTACTGGTACGAAAACAGAGATATAGATCAATGGAACAGAACAGAGCCCTCAGAAATAATGCCGCATATCTACAACTATCTGATCTTTGACAAACCTGAGAAAAACAAGCAATGGGGAAAGGATTCCCTATTTAATAAATGGTGCTGGGAAAACTGGCTAGCCATATGTAGAAAGCTGAAACTGGATTCCTTCCTTACACCTTATACAAAAATCAATTCAAGATGGATTAAAGATTTAAACGTTAGACCTAAAACCATAAAAACCCTAGAAGAAAACCTAGGCATTACCATTCAGGACATAGGCGTGGGCAAGGACTTCATGTCCAAAACACCAAAAGCAATGGCAACAAAAGCCAAAATTGACAAATGGGATCTAATGAAACTAAAGAGCTTCTGCACAGCAAAAGAAACTACCATCAGAGTGAACAGGCAACCTACAACATGGGAGAAAATTTTCACAACCTACTCATCTGACAAAGGGCTAATATCCAGAATCTACAATGAACTCAAACAAATTTACAAGAAAAAAACAAACAACCCCATCAAAAAGTGGGCGAAGGACATGAACAGACACTTCTCAAAAGAAGACATTTATGCAGCCAAAAAACACATGAAGAAATGCTCACCATCACTGGCCATCAGAGAAATGCAAATCAAAACCACTGTGAGATATCATCTCACACCAGTTAGAATGGCAATCATTAAAAAGTCAGGAAACAACAGGTGCTGGAGAGGATGTGGAGAAATAGGAACACTTTTACACTGTTGGTGGGACTGTAAACTAGTTCAACCATTGTGGAAGTCAGTGTGGCGATTCCTCAGGGATCTAGAACTAGAAATACCATTTGACCCAGCCATCCCATTACTGGGTATATACCCAAAGGGCTATAAATCATGCTGCTATAAAGACACATGCACACGTATGTTTATTGCGGCACTATTCACAATAGCAAAGACTTGGAACCAACCCAAATGTCCAACAATGATAGACTGGATTAAGAAAATGTGGCACATATACACCATGGAATACTATGCAGCCATAAAAAGATGATGAGTTCATATCCTTTGTAGGGACATGGATGAAATTGGAAACCATCATTCTCAGTAAACTATCGCAAGAACAAAAAACCAAACACCGCATATTCTCACTCATAGGTGGGAATTGAACAATGAGATCACATGGACACAGGAAGGGGAATATCACACTCTGGGGACTGTGGTGGGGTCGGGGGAGGGGGGAGGGATAGCATTGGGAGATATACCTAATGCTAGATGACACATTAGTGGGTGCAGCGCACCAGCATGGCACATGTATACATATGTAACTAACCTGCACAATGTGCACATGTACCCTAAAACTTAGAGTATAATAAAAAAAAAAAAAAATCACAGTGTTTGTGAACTCAAAACTTCTATACTGCCAATCTCTTTTAAACTACTATATTATCTGCTGAAAAGTCATAATTTTCAATAAAATGTTTAATAAATATGTGTTGTCCCATCTATGCTGCATACTAGGAATTGGAAGTCCTTTTAGTTACTGGCAGATGTTACAGCCCACTACCTTGTTTGCTTGCCCAGGAAACTGATGTCAGCAAGAATGATCAGGTCTACAAAACAGTAAGATTAGACTAGGTAGTAAGGGCAATGCATGGGTTGAATTTTGTCTTACAAGGAAAACAATGTTGACCTTCTAACCTCCCTGGTCAGAATGTGACTTTATTTGGAGATTGGGCCTTTACAGAGGTAATCAATGTAAAATGAGTTGATGAGATTGGGACCTAATCCAGTAAGCCTGGTTTCCTTATAAAAAGAGAAAAATTGTACACAGAAACAAACATGCATAAAGTGAAGATGATATGAAGAGACACAGGGAGATTAACATAGTCATCTACAAGCCAAGTAGAGAGACCCCAGATCAGATTTTATCCTCAGAGCCTCCAGAACTGTGAGATGCTAAACTTGTGTTGCTTAAGCCACTCTATTTGTGGTCCTTCATTACACTAGCCCTAGTCAGCTATTACAGGCAGTAAACTTAATCATCTAGCTTTCCATTCTTCTAGTTCACATATGTATGTAGATTATTATGACAAGAACAATGTGTGTCTATATGAGTTCTAAGTCTCAATAGTTATGAATGTTCATTAAGTGGCGATCATAGAACTGTAGGAGTATTAAAATCTAGCAATGGACATAGACATTGCAATCTGCTCTATTAAAATTAATTTCAACACTTATTCTCCTTTCTCACTGATAAATATGCACCCCATTTTCTTAAACTTGTCCTTTAGCTTTGTATGCCAGTTTCACATGACTATTCCCAAATGTCTCCCTTTCTTCCTGGAAATGACGTGGTTATGACAGATGATCCATATAGCTTAGAATGGATGTTTTGGATAAATGTATAAAACTCCAGTTAGAATTCAAATTTGTGTTCTCTTGCCTTGTGCTTATTTATACTTATGGTTGTTTAAACTTGTGTTACAATACTGATGTCTCTTTGTATTTGATAAACAACAAAACAGTAGATAAACAAGGATATATAGACCCAAAGAGATAAGTGGCAAGCAATTATTCTGAGCAAGGATACACAGACCCCAAAAGATGAGTGGTAAGCAATTATTCTGAGCATCTGACTAAGGAAGGGCTCCTCATAATACTAGTGGTTATGGGTGATACCTGTGCAGATCAGAAAGACCCCACCTGTCTAGGTTCTTTTTCTTTTCATAAGGTTATGGCTGATGCCTAATGTAATCATTAATGTATTCAGGGAGCCGTGGAACACACAGAAGTCCAGGAAGACACAAGTAGAAAATTAGGAATTGATTATTAGGGAAAAGAGGAAAGAAACAGGAATTGGTTGATATGCCTATCCTGGTTCTGGCTGATGAAGCAGGTTCATCAGGAACATAGGAACAGATTCTCAGGCTCATTCACTTAGGAACTTTAGATTATTGAGATAAGATAGGTATCATCATCTCTCAGAGCCACTGTTGAGGTGATGTTTATATTGGGTAGAAGATTATAGTGGAAAGAATATAGACTTTGAAAACAGAAAAAGAAACAATATTAGTGCTCTGGCTCAACTGTTTACTGGGTGTAGTTCTTTTTGCAAGGTCCTTAGTTTTACTCAGTGCCATTTTCTTTTTCTTAGGGTTGTTAGAAAGACAGAGGTAATAGCAGTTAATGGAAATTCCTCATGTTCTATGTGCCAGGCACTATGTATAGTGATTCACATGTGTTACCTTATTCAATCCTTATAACATGTTTATAAGATAAATTGCACTGTTAATCCTTTTAATACAAATGAAGAAATCGAGATTCAGGTACTTGTTCAATGCCACAAAGACGATATATGGTAGAGCTTTGTCAGTCTAGTTCAAAAGTCAAAACACTTAACCCTGCTTTCTAATGTGTGCAAAACACTTAGCATAATGTATGACATACAGAAGGATTAAGCGAATATTAAGTCCCTTTTTCCCAACTAACTCTAAAATATTCAGACTGTAGGGGTTCTATTAATGGGTTCTCTAGTCTGCCAATAGGAAAATATCACTGATGTAATGGCCTATTTGAGTCTGGCCCTGATGCATCATATTCTATCTGGTGTTATTTCTCAGTCAGGTATAGATTCTCAGTCCCACACCAATATTTAGGACCAGGACTAGACATAACATGATGAGAAATAATGGGATCCAAATGATGAATTTATGGAGGAAGGTGGATAGGGATCTTAGAACATATTTTGTTTTCCAGACAGTGCTTTAATCAGATTCAAAGAGGTAAAATTAGTTTGTAAGAAGTCGAACTATTACTTCATGACATGGGTCTCTGTAAGAGAGGATGGTGACATTTATATAATTATCAGGTGAAAGCAAAACGTAGTTTCAGTGCAGACGGGAAAATTACTACAAGGGAACATGTGAAGAACATGTGATATTAAACCGAGCAGGGATTCCAGTGGCCGCATGTTAGGAAATGATAAAAGTTAGATAGATAGCTATAATGAAAGGTCGCAAGCTTAGTTTAGGTTGTTTTCATTAAATATTCCAGGTAATGGGAGCAAGTGTGAGAGATTTCCCCAAGGTAAGGGTATAGCAGGGATGGAAGAAGCAATGGTTTCAGAAGCAAAAGAGAAATATTTGTTAAAGAGAGCAATAAATAAGCAGCGCTATGTGCTTAGAAAAAAGCGGGGAGTAGACACACAATCCTAAGTACCCAAGTACGCGTGCACACCAAAGCAAATCATTGAAACTGCTTACTAATGTAGTTGAGCCTTCATGGTATTTTGCACTCAAGGTGCTGGTGAATGATCACAAAGTAAAGGTCTCCATTCACTTTTTTAATGTGATGCAAATGATTTCAAACTTTATTTTCAAGGTGCCAACAAAGACAGCTTAGGCTGTCATTTTCCTATAGATGCTGCTGTACCTTCATACATCAAAAAGTTTATTTGAATAATTACATATTGTCCACATTCTTATCACAGGAGTTTCCTAACCCATAATAACTACATCAAAAGAATACTCAGCTACAGCATAGTGCATTTCAATAGTGTAGTCAGTAACAGATACATTCTAAAAGCTTTTCAAACCCACCAGTATTTAGAGATTCCCCCAAACAGATATAATTCATCTGAGTAAAATATATACAGCTGTAATTTATCAGGTTGACTCAAGGGAGATAAATCTTACTAAAGACGTACAATTAATCACAGTCCTTCTAGTATTTATCTGGCGGCTTAGAAAAGTTAAATGTAAAATAAGAGTCAGTTCAAATTCTCTAAGTGTGCATTAATAGAGTCTGTGGTTGAGTAAATACACAGAGGAAAATGGATTTGTGTTCAATTTAAAGTAAACTATATTTAAATCAGTAGTCCTATTCAATAGCTATGAATTTACCAATTTCAACTCTTTCATGATTCATGTATATTATAATCAACCCAAGTAGTTGAAAAAGGTGGATGGAGGAATACACAATCTTCACTACAAAGGTATAATATGCTTCCTTTTTTCCGTCATTCTAATAGCTTCATTTGACCAGGAAACAAAATTACATATGGAAAAGTTGTCTTAACAGCCAATTGGATAGACTGGCAGTTTTATACTTTTGGATAACTTTAAGAAAGGTCTTTGAGAATAGTACCTGAACACCTAACATGGATAATAGAATTCTATAATCCTACAATGAAGGAGGTATTTTGTGGAATTTATTCCATATGGGAGAGTAAAAAGCAGAGTTAACAGGGGTTGTCATCCATACTCATGATTGCATTTTGTATTTTTCAAGGGCTCACTAGAGCCACAACCTTCAAAATAGATCAATAACATTACTCAGCAACTGATATGTAGGAGGCACTTGCAATAAGAATTTCTGAGTCTTTATACTAACTCTGTGAGGTACATCATATTATTTAGACCATCCCTACGAGGAAACTGAGACTCATAATTGTTCAACGGAATGTTCAAAATCAGAAAGCTACTATATTGCAAAGTCTGACCAGGTTTTCTGATCTCAAGACTGATGTAATTTCTACTTGAGCAAGATGCAGCAGAAAGTGAATGGGTTTTTGGAGTTTGGGGTCAGATGCACCTGCTTGAAAGGCTGTCTCACTTATCACCTGTGGATCTAAGGATTATTCTCTTAATCCCTCTGACCCCATCTTCCTCTTACGTAATTTAAATTGAGTAGGTAAAAAGTTAATTTTTTATAAAAGCTTAAAAATTACACCACCTGTACTATGTAAAAACCCTATTGAATTCCCTTCCTAGTATATTGAACATCTATTATAGTACAGTAATTAAACCCATATTGTCTTCTTTAGTCTTTTTAAAAACTTTTGATCTGGAGGATTCTAAGTCTTTCATGAAACAACAACGTAGGAGCCTGAGCTCTCCAAAGCTGCCTTTACAAAATTGAAAGGTTCTCTAGTTTCTCAAAACACAGGCATTATCATTTATTAATCTTTTTAACTTCACTTTATGCATTCAATGACTCATTCCCTTTTTCATATAACATTTCATATGATTCCCTCTTTCAACTATTTATTATTCTTTATTTGAAAGGCACTCTGCCAGATTCAGAATGCACTAAGACAAAATTCTGGCCTTGGAGATGTCAACACTGTTGTGAAGTGAAGTTGACACACCAGTAGACAGATGAGTGGTATAAAGAGGAGCGGGCAAGGAACTGAGAGCACTGGACCCAGAAACAAGAACTGAGGTTAGAAAGCCAATGCAAGTGTGGAGCCCAGGGAATTGGCAGGTTTCAGAGTCACTTACACTCCAGGAAGTTTGGAAGCCAAATGGCAAAGTAGAGCTAGATTTCTGGCTCAAGGTCTTTAGTCCACAACCACGATGCTCACAGGCACCATCCATCATTAAAGAAAAAAAGCCAAAGGAGGATGATATGGTTAGGCTTTGTGTCCCCACCTGATTCTCATCTTGAATTGTAAGCACCATAATGCCCACGTGTCAAGAAAGAGACCAGGTGGAGGTAGTTAAATCATGGGGGCGGTTTTCCCCGTGCTGTTCTCTGCCATGGTGAGTTAGCTCTCATGAGATCTGATGGTTTTATAAGGGGCTCTTCCCGGCTTCGCTGGGCCTGTCTTCTTCCTGCAGTCTTGGGGAGAAGGGTCCTTGCTTCTCTTTCGCCTTCCGCCATGTTTGTGAGTTTTTCTGAGGCCTCCCCAGCCGTGCTGAACTGTGAGTCAAGTAAACCTCTTTCCTTTATAAATTACCCAGTCTTGGGCAGTTCTCTATAGCAGCATGAAAATAGACTTATACAAAGGACATAGCAAAAAGTAAAGCGAGAATAAAATCAGGCAAGAAGCAGGCAATAAAGATAGCAGGGATAAGAAGAGAGAGAAAAAGTACCGATAATATGCAGCAAAAAGATTGAAATTTTAATCTTTATTTTGGCATTAAATATAAAAAACTAAAATCCTTATAGTAAAGTAATATCAGGATGATATATTTGACAAAATAATGATTCACCATTTTTATTCTGAGGATAATAGATACTTGCATTTGTGATTTGATGGAATTAAAAAGCATCCACTAAATAAAGTTTGTCAGATGAAATAAAATGAAGGGTTATTTGCACAAATATATTTTAGAATAAATATTTTTGATGTAAACTGTTAACTTGTACTTTATGTTTGGCTAATTTTAGATGTTTAAAATCTAGATTTTGCTAAAAATATTGGAATGAGTCAAAATGTTTCCTGAATTGTTTTCTGCATTGTTATAACTATAGAATAATTATAAAACTCTGTTATAGCTATATAGCATGTGAATTATGTTTCCAAAAGATTAGCAAAGTTTTATATGTGTTTGAAATATTCATTTTCTGTCAGTCAAAATAAACTTGAAAGTGGAAGAATTTAGGCTAGGCAGCTTTAATCATTTTTTATCCAAATGTAGCAACAAGCTGTAATTGCATTATTTCATATAGGTATTACACTCCTATGTGCTTGTTTTTACTATATCAATTCCAAATATCTATGTGAAGTATTTTCATTCATTGTTTATTTTTGTCATGTACATACAATCATTTCTCAGGTTTCCGAATCAAGTCATAATAACAGTGAAACAATCCAGAGTAAAGGGAAAAATAAACATGGTTTTCTCAAGTTCAAGCTTTCATACTTATATTTTGCTTTTTTCATTGCACCACGAGTGGAGGGATGGTGGGAGCCACAAATAGCTGACTTAAGGACTCCATCTGTTAGCAAGGCTTGTCTCAGTGGCTTGAGAGATCACATACACCCTTTGGCTGTTTAAGGGAAGAAAAAGGCACTGAATTGGATTAGTGATTCTTAGCCTTAGGGGTTGGGAGGAGTTAGAGCTGGGAGGTGGAAAAGGAATCCAGTATCCACTGTGCATCTCCCAGTTCTCTGGGCTTTGCTGGATGTTTCTGCGACAATCTGTTACAGATCTTTGCTCCTCGATCCAGGTGCTTAAATGCTAACAATAAAAATTTGTGTTGTGAGGCTGGAACTGTGGAACTGATGGAAAGTAACCCTATTTTCCTAGTCCATTGCCTTATTTTTTTTTATTGTACCCCACTTGATAAATAACTTGGCAGCCAATAGCAACACAAAGCACAACCTATAAAGAAGTATCCCCTTTTTCTGTAAGCTTATAATCCTTACGATGAACTTTCTCAAGAACAAGGTAGAATTTAAGTTTTTCCTAAGAATGGCCGTACTGTTGTTTATGTGTGTGTGTGCATGTGTGTGTAGGTAGGTAGGGAGACAGATAAATATAGAAGTAATACTATATCTATTTTATTATATATACCTATTATATATAACAATATAATGGTATATATCATAAATATATAAAAATATATATTATATAGATATAAAATGTGTATATAAGAAAATGTATCTTGCCGAGGAAGAGTGAATAAGAAAAAATTTACCAAGATTAATTATTTGATAACTAAGAAATCATAAATACTTGAAACTACTACTTATATTTGTTCTTGTTTCATGCAAATGAGAGGATCTGCTTCATTTGTTATTGGGCTCTAATTGTACTTTTGGCTTTTGGACTTCTCTAAACTGACTATTTTTACCATCAAAATTACATTGTTTTGTTAATAGATTTTTCTTTATAAAATCACAAGATTAGAATTTAACTTCAAGTTAGTATAAACCCAACTTTTTAAGAAGAATTTTTATTGAAAATTTACTCAATTATTACTGATTTTGTGAAACCTAATCCACAATTTTCCTACCTATATTTGGATGAATAGTGATATCCCTTCTTCTGATGATGACAGCTTAGCTACTGAAACTGACTTGTTCTTTTGATTTACTTTTCTTTTGGGGCTTTTTGTTTTGAAATAATTAGGAATTCACAGGAAGTTGCCAAGAATAGTACAGAGAAGTCCTATGTACCTTTCAACTAGTTACCCCTACTGGTATTAATAGTATGTTGTGTAATTATAGTACAACATCACATTCAGGAAATTGACATTGATAAAATCCACACACTTTATTTGGATTTTACACATCTTGTTTTTTTTTTTTAATTTTTTTTGGAGCAGAGTCTCATTCTATTGTCCAGGCTGGAGAGTAGTGGCATGATCTCAGCTCACTGAAACCTCCACATCTTGCACTCAAGCGATCCTCCCACCTCAGCCTCCTGAGTAGCTGGGATTAATTTTTGTGCTTTTTGCCGAGACAGGGTTTTGCCATTTTGTTCAGGCTGGTCTTCAACTCCTGGGCTCAAGTAATTTGCACTCCTCGGCCTCTCAATGTGTTGGGATTACATGTGTAAGCCACCATGACTGGCCTAGATTTCACATGTTCTACACCTGTTCTGTATACACTTCTCCATGTAAGCATTGTATGTTTTTAGTTCTGTGCAACTTTATGACATTTATAGATTTGTATAAGTCAAAATATAGAATTATTCTATCACCTCAAGAATCACTCTTGCTACCCTTTTATAAGTCCGCTCTGTTCCCTCTACTTCCCCTAACATTTGCCATTCCGATGTGGCAGTCACTAGAAATAAAAATAACACATAAGATATATCATTAAGAATAATAATAGTCTAAGCTCTAAAGTCAGACTACTTGATTCTGCACCCTGGCTTTACACTTCCTGCCATGTGACTTTGAACTTAATCTCCTTAAACATCAGTTCTCTTAACTATAATGTGAGTATATTATACCATGTACTTCATGGTGTTATGATAAAATAATTCTGATAATTCACTATGATAGAAATTGCTATGATGTTTGTCCCTGACTAGAGAATTACCCATATCCTCGACCAGATTATAAGATATAGATATGAATAGAATATGGATATTTTCTTATAATCTAGTAGAGAATGTGGATAATAGGCTATTATATAGCAGTTTATATAGCAGTATAAGAGTTAGTGGAGGTTGCTGTGGCAAAACCTATGAAGAAATTTAACTTAGAATTTGGGGAAAGAATGTGAGGAAGTGATAAAAACTGATATAGATGATGATACAGATGATGACTACATGGGAGGTAAAGAAGGTGAAATATTTTTCACAGAGGGTAGAGGCTGGAATTAAGGAAAGCATAGGTCCTTTAAAAAACTGTCAATTATGGCCTGGTGCAGTGGCTCACGCCTGTAATCCCAGCACTTTGGGAGGCCGAGGCGGGTCGATGACCTGAGGTCAGGAGTTCGAGACCAGCCTGGCCAACATGGCAAAACCCTGTCTCTACTAAAAATATAAAAATTAGCTGGGCGTGGTGGCACGTGCCTGTAATCCCAGCTACTCGGGAGGCTGAGGCAGGAGAATTGCTTGAACCCAGGAGGTGGAGGTTGCAGTGAGCCAAGATTGTGCCATTGCACTCTAGCCTGGGCAACAGAGTGAGACTCCATCTCAAACAAAACGTAACAAAAACAAAAACAAAAACCTGTCAATTGTTTGATATGGCTGCAACTCAAAGATTGAGAGAGAAGGACCTTTTAAGATATGCTAACTAGTCTAATTTCCAACCTGAGAACCACGTAGCATGATCAGTTCAGATCTGCATTTCTGAAAAACCATCCTGGCTGCAGTGTAAGTTATTATTGAAGGGGATGGTGACAGGTATGTTTCTTTATAAATGAAACATTTATAAAGTTCTAAGAAGGATAATAGTACATTTTCAAGGAATATTAGTGCAGATGTTTGTTACATGATTTTTGATAGACACAATGGAGGTGATTTATCCATTATCTTCCCGAAGGCTCTGACAAAGTTTCCATAAAGCTTGGCTATATTAGTCCATAGAAAAGTGACACATAAACTTTAGTAGAGACTAATGACAATTTTTCTTTGAAAAGATACTCTAATCTCTTATTTTCCTCAATGACAACTTATGAAACATTTTAGAACTTGAGATCCCTATAGTTCTAGAGGAGATTTTTTCGATGTGCAAAGGAATATTGAGATCAATATATTACCAAATTCTGTGCATTATCCATTGGGGAGACAGAAGAACTTAACACATGAAGACAAACCAAAAGGAAGTATGAATAAATAAATGTATAAAATGAAACCACTGAGACAAATGAGTCGGTAAAATGAATGTTGAAAGACAAATTCCACCTAACAGTTCATCTATAGTGCCCTACACATAGTTTTATCACAGAATTTATTACCTACTTTGTTCATTATTGGTTAACATTCCCATGTCCTGTACTAGAGAACATATTACTCAACAACAAAGCTTTTATTTTATCTGTAATTACAGCCCCTAATACAGTATCTCACACAATAAAGTACTCATAGAACTTTAATGAAGGAGTGGAGTAGTGACTGAATGGTGTCAAAGTATGTGGGGGTAAATATTTTTAACTATATTCAAGGATGAGAATTTTAAAAGAAATACCTAAAACTTGGCAGAGGTCTGGAAAGTGGTTTTCAAATTTTTGGTCTCAGTATACCTTTACCCTCCTAAAAATTGTGTTTACAGGGCTTCTATTAAGACTATATTAGATGTCAAATTTCAGATTATAAAACATGTATTGATTCATTTAAAACAAACACATTAATATAAAAATTGTTGGAAGTTGAATAGTCTTCATGAAATTCTTATAAACTAACCGAAGGCAGGAACATGGTGGGTGGAAGCACTTTTATTGCTTTCAACTGGGCAATGATTTGATGTGCCAGTCATTTTACAAATATATGGTAAGTATATTGATTCATCACTTGATTAATCACTCACAGTTTCATGTACTAAGCTTCATCTTCTGTGTAATCTACGTGAAAGCAGATAACCAAATTTAACTGTTCTTTGTCACCTACCAGAAGAGGAAATTGGTATCCTAAGAATTTCTATCTTCAGCACAAAGTTTCACTCAATAGATGTTGCCATTATTCTTTTTCAATCATAGTGATTTACTGAGGAAAACTACAATGATTAAGCCTGTCATCAGTTCTTCTAATACATGGACAATAAATAAGATAAACATATAATCTAGTTAACCTGGGACTGTTGCTGATTGTGTCTGTTATACCAGGCTAATACTTTCACTCTCAGAATATTTGGGTTTTCTAATTTTCCATGATGTGATGATTATGCATTGCATGCCTGTACCAAAATATCTCATTTACCCCATAAATAAATGCATACACCTACTATCTGCAAAAATTAAAAATAAAAAATTTAAAGAGAATATCTAGGTTTAGATATTAAACTGTTTGGCTAACCCAGCCATAATGCACAACTTTGTCAGAAGTTTTATTAATCAATGAGTCTGACTTCACATGCCAAATGCACATCTAGATCATGTAGTGAATAAAATAATAGACATTTCAATGAAAGCTTATAAAATCATTTAATGTCACCAAATGGAAAAAAAGGTGCAGAATTGTCAATAGAATGCTTTAGTTATATTATCCCATTTGTCCCATTCAAGATCAAAACTGACTCCATCAAAATTCTTAAAATCAGAGTTTTTTGTTAAAACAAAAAAATCAAAAAACTATATTAGATTTTAACAATGTTATTTATATATCCTAAAATATTTCTAATTGGAGATCAATAGAGCCTATATTAAATTCTAAATTTTTCACAAAAGTTTACAAATTTAATTCTGAGTTTGTAAAATGTATTATAATAGCTCAATGAGCAACTAATTAAACATAATATATATTTCTGTCTGGTTTTTCGTTATGTTTCTATTGTGGTTAAATACATGTAACCTAAAATTGACCATTTTATGATTTTTAAGTATAAAATTGCTTCCATTTCACATTTCCATGGAGCTGTCATCACCATCTATCTCCAGAAATTTGTTACTTTACTGAAGTTCTGCTTGATTGTGATTTTTAAGAGTAGAAAAAGTATTTTTATACTTTTTTGCATCAAAACGAGATTTAAATACATTACTCAAAAAATAAACTATAATTTTGGAACTCTGTGATCGAGGCCTAGTAAATAAGTTGGTTTTTCTTTAGAGTGAGTCTTAAAGATTAAAAAGTTCTTTCAGGTCTTACATAAAATGTGAAATACTAAGAAACAAAGCTGTCGGGCGTGGTGGCTCAAGCCTGTAATCCCAGCACTTTGGGAGGCCGAGGCGGGCGGATCACAAGGTCAGGAGATCAAGACCATCCTGGCTAACACGCTGAAACCCTGTCTCTACTAAAAATACAAAAAATTAGCCGGGCATGGTGGCGGGCGCCTGTAGTCCCAGCTACTCGGAAGGCTGAGGCAGGAGAATGGCGTGAACCCGGGAGGCGGAGCTTGCAGTGAGCCGAGATCGTGCCACTGCACTCCAGCCTGGGCGACAGAGCAAGACTCCGTCTCAAAAAAAAAAAACAAAAAACAAAGCTTAGATCAGTTGAGGGCTCTAAGCAATGTTAATCTATAATTACTTTTCATTAAACTTAAATTTTAATATTTTTATAAGTGCTTAAAGTAAATCTGCAGGATACATATTGGTTAAGAGACGAAAAGTATTTGGCTGCAGAAGCTTGCCACTTTTCAGCGTTAAGCTTGTCCTCAAGGCTGAGTATAATTATTCCCAGTTGTGTTCATTGTTATTTTATCCATAATGAGTTCCAGAACCTCTTTTTAATATTTTTAACCTCGTCTTTATCTCTAAATGTACATTTAAAAATATCTTAATAGTATACAATTAAATAAAAAGTAAACATTCATTGCCAGCATATAATATTTAATTATAAATATTGCAAATTCTTATGTCTTTCATTTGACATTTCAGTAGTATTTTGCTTTCTGAGTAGAGTTAATGATTTAGCAGGATCTTAAAACTCTTTTTTTCTTTTCTTTTTTTTTTTTTTCTTTTTGCTCTTTAACTACATGAAAAGTAAAATGAATAAATAAGCTATGCCTAAAATAGTTAACTGCATGCCTGGTTTTAAAGGCTGATGGCCAAGCAGTTAGTATCAGCAGAAATCCCAGGAAAGGTAACAAGTTGCATATCAAATAGTGGGCATAGAAAATCAAACGATGGAAAGCTAGGCCCCCGCTCCCCCCCGGCCATCAGCAGCACACAATTTTATAGTGGTTTTCATTTTGAAAAAAATAGGGGACTCTCAAAAATCAGAAAGCAGGTTCCTGAGACTGTGAGTTATCAAGATATAAAACTGTGAAATCATCAAAGAGTTGAAAGTAAATATACACCAATAGAGACAGAAAAATAAAAACTTTAGAGAAATTTAAGCATCTAACTATACTTAGAATTTTTTTTCTTTACATTTTCTAATAAAATAATTCAATGGATACTTGTATGCCTATTTTTTTTCATTCAAACAATGTGAGGCACTATGTTAGGCAAAAGGAATACAAATAACACACATAAAGTCTACCTGCATGGAGTACGGCGTCTGTGGTAGAACGGGCAACTATAATACAAAGATACTTATTGTAAGGGCCCTGATAGGAGTAGGCACAGGATACTATGGAGCATGTAGGATTGGAACCATTGTTCAGTCATGGCCAGTGATGAAAGACTACCCAAAAGCATTGCATTTAAGTTGAGGTGTTAAATTCGAGTTAACCAGACAGAGCAGAAATGAGAAAAGCAATCAGAGGTAATGATGTGGAAAAGCCTGGAGTCAGGAGATGGCTAAATTGGAGTCAAAAAACAAATAAGCAAAACCAGTGTACTTGACTGATGAATATAACCAGATTGTAAATTTTAAGTTACACACAAAAATATATCAAAAAAGGATATTTTTTCATATTTAAAGTGAATTACTGTATAGAAAGATGCCAAGATTATTAAAACAGCTACAAGTAGTGAGAACACTGTTTTCATTTCAAGAATAATATATCTTTATAATACAAAAATAGTAAATATTAAAATATTTGCTTGCGATATTTGGGATAATTTTTGTACTGCTCTATAATCTATCACGAGGGCTTTGAGCAGGTGAACATTACTCCTAATTTTTGCATTGGTAATATTTTTCATTGGTAATAGAACAACATATGAATTTGTTCATAATATTTAAGATTGCAACTGTAACATTTCTTTATTAACCTTCTTTTAGTAGGCAAGTTATCCTGAAAATTAGAAAAGTTGATGAGCACACATGCGAAATTGTCTTCCCAGCACTCTTATATTTGCCCACATAAGTCTAATTGAAAAGTTAGAACATTTACCAGTGAGTATAGAATTATATGGCATGGTTCTATAGCATGCCTTTAAGCAGAAATGTTGACCACAATTTTTTTGTTGGCACTGCTATCCACTGACCATTTCCTAAATAGCTGACTGAATTCTCTAACATCATGGATAAAATCTGACTCGTTTTATCTGGAACACTTTAGAGCTACACACATTTGGGTGGTTAATATCTAATTGAGTATAAGCCCTTACACCTCCCCATACCAAGGCAGCCATTGAGCACATCTTCTATCTGTTGCCTAGTACTTGGCTAAGTGAAAATCCTTTTTCATTTACATAACTTTTTCATTCACATGTAGAATTCAGCAAGTTAATAACTGTATATTTGCAATAGCAGGTGACTGTTCCCCTAATTTTGTTGTATCATATATTCCAACGATTTAAAATAAAATTTACAACACGTGGCTGTCTTAAATGTAAACAAGCTTGCAATCAATTTGGTTTAATGAAATTAAAGCCCTATAGTATGACTAAAGAGAAGAAAGCTTTTGGTTCTTTCCTGAATTTGTAATGGAAACAACTGTTTTGGTCTAAAGAGATAATGAAAAACATGATTGTGCCAAAACTCTAGGAAAAGATTTATTCGGTATTAGTCAACAAAGTAGAAAATTCTGATTATCTGGGGAAGATTATAGAGACTGCATTTTAAAGTGGTGTGGTTTTTCAGGTACTTTATATTGCTCTTGTGTGTTAAGGTGTGGAATAGGATCAATCACTTTTTCAATGAAAGGAAGATTTAAGCATAGATGCTGAGCCAACTTCTCTGAGCTTTTAGTAGAATGCTAATTAACAGAGATGGTAATCTAAATTTCATTGTATTCTTAAATTTGGGAACAGGTGTTATAGCATTGATTATTCAATGAAAAGGCCCGTTCCCTGGAAAGGTTATACACATGACTTTTGCTAACTTGTTAATTGATTTTTCCCCATGGTATTCTGTTTCACCTTTTTATTAGAAAACTGAAAAAAAAAGTGCCAAGTGAACCTGCATGCTCTTTTTCAAAAAATTTTAATGGCTCTCCAAACATAACCCTCCAACATTACTGGGACCCTACACAGTCCTCTCGCTTTAACTTTAAATTAGTGTCTGTCTCAATTAGAATGACTCTACATTCTGTAAAAATCCTCGGGCTTCTCTTACTCTTGAAAGTAGCATTGCCTTCTTTGTTATAGATAGCAGTACATTGTTCATTTTTTTAAGATTCATTTCAATGTAACCTCTGTTTCATGAAGGTTTTCCTGATAATCCCCCTCATCCTAGTGATGTCTTCTGAGTTACAAGTGTCCTTGGTACCTATTTACCGCTTAAAATTATATTAGTTAGGGTCTTTTCAGCTGTAGGTGATAAAACCTCACTAAAAATAATTTATGCCACAAATTATGTGGGGAGTTATTAACCCAAGTTAGTGGGAAGTTCAAGGAGTAGCAATAACTTAAGCTCAACTGGATCCCAGGGCTCAAATTATATGGTCAAGATACTATCTTTGACTAAGTTTTGCTTTTCTTTGCATGAACTTGGCTCTCAGCCACTTCATCCCCAGTAGGATGGCACTGATAGTCAACAGTCTTGCCAAGCTTACATTCTTAGGAGGTAGCATCCATTTTCCCAAATATTTCAACAGTGTATCTAAGAAAATTGCTGATTACATTAGCATATTTTGACTTACATAACCTCTCCACAGATAAATTACTGTGACAAAGAAAATGAAGAAGGCCATATTCTCACCCACAAACCCAGGGTCTCGGGTCTAATCCAAGAATGTCATATGAGTTGAGAAAAGGGAGGCATAGTTCCATAAAAGAAATCTCAACTAGTTTTACCAACAAACAGTAGTGGAGAAAAAGAATGTTTAGCAGAGAAAGATACAAAAAATAAAAAAAAAAAGATAAAAGCTGTGCACTAAGGTATCTGTATTTATTTGTACTGATATATACTATTTGATTTATAAATTGATATTGGGGTGCGTAGTAACCTGGATAGCTATCAAAACCTTTGTTTCTGACATACATCATTTAAATAACTGTAGTTCTCATTTAAAAATACTGTTTAATGAAGATGTTACAGAAACTTGTAAATTAAGGGTGAGAAGTTGATATTCTGTCTTCAGTTGTTAACTTTGTTGATCAAAAGATAAAATTGTATCTCAATATACTAAGAACTAAAGAAAAGTTAACAGGGAAATTTGATGGTAATCTTCTGAACCCTCATTTGGTTTATCAGCATGTCTCCTCATAGGCTTATTCTCATTACAATAGTTTAATGAATGTATTTTGTACTGTGTCCTTAGGAATACTGAGTGGTCTTTGAAAGCAGAACCTATTTCTCGGTGCCCTTCTGTGTATGCATTGCCTAGATCAGTACCTTATCTATATAATAGTTGTTTTAATTGTTGATCCTTTTAAAAGTGAAACATTTTCAAATAAAAGTACGGCCTGTATTAAAGGATTATTTTGTTTACTTCTGCCTTAAGTAGTCTCACTGTTGACATTTGAGCAGTTTAGAAGCTGTCCTTCTAATTGGCTAGTCATTTCTTAGCTACTGATAATTTACAAGTTGCATTTGTTTTTTGAGCTCACTTCAAATAATGTTTGAGTTTCTAGGTAAGTGTTAATCCTCCTTATCAGATGAGGTGGTGGGTTTTGAGAGTGAACATAAAATTTGAGAAAAATAACAATTTTTGACCATATATTGCCAGAACAAGTTTTTGCTTTAGTCAATTTAGTTGACTAAAGTTCATTTTAGCTTTCTTTTCTCATTTTCAATAGATAGCTGTAACATTCTTATATATTTGAGAAAGCATAACATGGTGAAATCCATTCTGAGAAGCACCCTGCCACAGGCAGCACGGTTATTAAGCTCTTGGCAAATGTGACTGATACATGTCTGATGGTGATACACTGTTGCATGTACACAAACTTCATCTTTCTCCAAATATAGCTCATTGCTTCTGCAAATACAGGCCATCAGTCAGGAAGATAGAATATGGAGATGGTTTAGGAACCCATCACCCCTAAAGGGAGAATGTAGAAAAACAGCTCAAACCCTTGCCTGCTAGTGCTGACACCATGGTGTTTGTTTCACTTGACGTGATCAGAGAGCATTACCAGTTACCTGAGATGCTGTTTTGTTTACCATGTGGTGATTTCCATTTCATTCTGCCTAGTATCTAGTCCAGTGTTGGACACATGGCAGAAGAGTAAATAATTGTTCCAGAATTAATGAAAGATTATCTATTGGTTAAAGTCACCCTGCAGGACAGGAAATAGATTAAGTGCCTTTTTCTTTTATACTCATCTGCTATTGAATTTCACAGTGATCTATTGTTTGTCCCAAATCCATTTCTTGTTTGGCTTTTCTACTGAATGATGAGAATTAACTTTGTGGAAGAATGCAGGTGGGTGCTATGAGTGAGCAAACAACTTTTGTTACCTCTAAGTCACTAAGCCTCAAAGCAATTGTGTTTCAGAGGGATAAAAAAACACATTATTTGGAAAGTCATGAGTCTAAATAGAAGAGTAACATCACCAGTAACATAATTCTTTCCCCGTCAGTGGAGGTTCTACTAATACTGGTTATTTCCTAGTATATCTGAATTATTTTTAAATGTATATTCTGTGAGATTCAATACAGAAAAAGGAAATGTCAATTTTCATTATTGTAACAACTGTACCAAAGGGTTTCTTAATTAATGACCAAAATACATTAAGATATGTACATATTTTATCTAATCATTAGAAGTCATTTTCATTTCTCCAGAAATTTAACAGCTATTAATAATAAATGACTATGGAAGTACATCATTAAATCTTATAAAGACCTTTTTTCTGTACATACATCCCATCACTTTTCTTCAGGTGAGGTAATGAAACTATTGACTCCTTTATCATATTCAATTAAAAAGATATTGATTGAGAGAGTTTCATGAAAGATACTTTTTAGATATTTCACGATGACGTAAGAAGTAGAAAGATGAGTGAAATATGATCTTTATGTCAAGTCTCATGAGCTCATGATAAGGGCAAGATTATATATATATATATATATATATACACACACACACACACACACATAAATCTAATGAAATTTAGGATTAATATGTATTCTCAAAACACATAAAAGGAGATCAAAGCAGGGAAATATGTAAAATGGGAGCAGAAAGAGGCCAACTTCATGAAATTATGAGGGAGGCCGTGAAGGACACACAGAGATGTGTTAAGGGGTGAATGGGAGAATGGAGAGAAGCGCTGTAGAAATTGCAGGAAGAAGGAGTCATGCAAGCGAAGACATGCACAGAGGGTGACATTGAGCCCGGCTCTATGGATGGGGATTAATTCAGCCTGATGGAAACATAGATTTTCTGTAGGGGACTAATGAGAATTGACAGTGGAAAGGTTGCTTGGATCCAAATTGTTCAGTGCCTCCGACTTGGTAAAGAGGTTTTAAGAAAGTTGGAACATGAGAAACTGTTTTTTAACATCACGGAATAATAGAAGGACACTTTAAAGACTGTTTTAGTGGAAGTATTCAGAGTATTTATAGATTTTTTTTGCCTTGTTCATTTAGTTTGATGCAGCTGAAATGCCTCTTCTTTACATCTCTGTTTCTCCAAATCCTGCCTATCCCTCAAGTCCAGTGCAAATGTTGCCCTTCTTCAAGAAGTCTTCTATTGCCCCACCAGACTGAAGGAATCACTGCTAGAGATTGCAGTGCTGGCTTTCTGCATGTAATTGCAAACATTTTTAGTATGTCATTTTATTTTTTTTGTATAAAATACTATATATGAGGATAAAGATCTATGTAATCTAAAACATGAATCGCTGACATTTTAAGGGAGACCTAGAGAGTACTACGCTGTTAAGAACATACTGTGTATTTCAAAGTAGTTAGAAGAGAAAACTTGAAATATTCACAACACAGTGAAACGATACTCAAGGTGACAGATGCCCCAAATACTGACTTGATCATTATACATTCTATGCATACAGAAATGTATGTTCTTTTAGAAAGTATTCCTGTATAATTGCACAATGATCAAGAGGGTGAAGAAAATGGTAAATTAAAGTACCATTTCTCTGCTATATTATCCTTAGTCAGCTCAGCCTCATTGTTCAATTTTCCGTAGTTTCCTTTTCTCCATGTAGTTTCAGATGAGAATCTGCCAAGAAACATTCAAGGCTTGGAAGGGAGAAGTGGAGAGGTTAGTTGCAGAAAGATTGGTGGATAGAAGCCTGTCCCCTGAGAGGCTCGCTGTTCGTGTTGCAGGCAGCGAAAATTGTTGGTGCCCACACTCCATGAGATTGCCAAGATTTGTCACTGACCATGTGAATGACTAGATTCTAGCAGCTATATCCCTCGCCTTACTTTCTTAGCCCTTCCAACAGTTTTTAAAGCCTCTGTTTCTCCATATTGAACATTTCCAAACTGAACTACCTAAAGTGGCTTGTAGCTTTTATTTTTCTTAATGAAAATTTGACTGATACAACTTCTGTTACAAAAACTATTCTTACCATAGTTGAAGGTTTATCTGATGAGTAATACCAAACATGATTAATGTTACGAAATGGAAAAATATGGTTTTTAATGTGAGAAAAAACTACACCGCATTAAAATAGTAAACCTCAGTTCCTGCTACAAGTGAAAATAATTTAAAAATAACACTTCAAGGTTATCATGTAGACTATAACCCCAGTGGGGAATTTAGAAGAAATATGTGTCTCAGAATTAATTTATTATACGAGTAAGGAGAATGAGCTGGTTACACACCCACTCAAGTATTAAAATAAGCTCAGGTGGCATTAATTACCAAGCACTGCCCTAAAAATGTAGTTGGAGGCCAGAAAAAGCTCTTATGCACTTGTTGGTCTTTAATATCTGGGCCAGCCAGGCATTGAAAGGACAAGATCTGAAAGGATATAAATAGAGCACTGACAAGTCTTGTGCAGACAGGTTAAATGTTTTATTTATCTCAGGATTCCCCATATCATGCAGATTATTCCCCTGTTCCTAGGTTTGTTGACCATTCACCAAAATAAAATTGTGTATCAGATGGGTAACTTGGCTACTAGATCAGGGAAGCACATTCAGCTACAAATTGTAGGCATTTCATTCTTATTTGTGTTGGATTACTTTGACTTAAACTGAACATGTTTGGTAGAATGAACCCCTGGATTTAATCAGGCAAAAGTCTTAATGTATTCGTTGGTTACACAAGGTCTCTTGCAGCCTTAAAAGGAGCAATTAGAGTATTCATTTCAGCATCAACTTGGTTCAAATTGCAGACAAATTGAAGTCTAATTTATTCTATAATTTATCATCATTATCACTCACAATGTAACTAGGAAACTTAGTAGTAGTATTTTTAGGGTAAACATTTGACCCATCTAGAAATTTCATTACCTATGCATTGTATTTTCTTTAACTGTTTTTAAGAGACAACACTGCCTAAAAGGAAAGACAACTCTAGATTGAAACACCACATCTTTAATGAAAACATAACCTCACTTATTTCTGGTACTTGGGAAATTATGCCAGTGTTAAAGTAAAGCATCTGTTATTCCTGAGATCATGTTGCATTATTTAATCAACCTCCAATGCTTTGTAAAACTGGTCTCCCAGTTGGCTGCAATGTACCGTGTATTATATACAGGTATTAATTCAACCAAAACGTGTATAAAAATCTGAATTATGTCTATCTACACACACTTCCATTGGCCAAGAAACAGAAAGCTAAATAATGACACACACACACACACACACACACACACACACACACACACAGAAAGAGATAAATAATATTTATCAACATTGAATATAACAGCTCATAAATCTTATAGGTAAGAAAATATTTAGAGAGCTAACAAAGGGCACAGGGAAATAAACTGGCATCAATTACTTCTGTTTGATTTTTTTCCTACTTTGTCAGGGAAATGGAATTGCATCTAAATAATGGCCTTCCCTTATATTTTAGAAGCAAAGTTGTTTACAAACCTCAAACATGTAAAAGCTATAACCAGTTCATTTATAAATAATTTGCTGTTAAGATAATTGAGATAGTGGCACTTGCTTGTGAGAGCATTATTGGAAAAAATCTGGTAGACTCAGCACATATTCACAAGTACAAATTAAATACTAAAACAAACAAAAAGTCAACTTTTAAAATTATTAACTGCTCCTGAAATTTGCCTTACTAAATACTCACAGAAAAAACAATAAATATGTTGGGTCAATGCCAGAAATTACAGGCCTACTAATGAAAAGAATGTAAAGCTTATTACTGTTAGCATAGTAAGAGGCAAAAATGGTGATGATAATTTAATTTATTTTGTAGCCACAAAATTATTATATAAAAGATTGAATTAAGGCATTTTGGATTGTTCCTTTGCTTTAGAAACTTCAGATAAGAAATAACTAATTTAAAACAATGATATTTCACTAGGTGGTGAGATTTTATTCTTGTCTCTATTTGGACTAGAGTCCCAAAGTTTAAAAAGTAATTTCCTCTAAATTCTAAAAACCATTGTTTGAGGTCTTTACTCTTCTGGAACAGACATTTTCTCAGGATCTATTAAGAAATGGCCCAAATGGTCTTATTATCCTACAGTTATCTATGAATATCTTAACATCCTTGTTCCTAGTCTATACAGTTAAATAAGTATTAGCATATTAAGGGGATAAGATAAAGGAATGATCAGGGGTACAGGATTTATGGGGAAAGTATATTAAAAATAAAAATTATTAGATTTTTCTCATCATCAAAAAATTAACAATTGATGTACATATAATTTTAAAAAACCTTAATTCTTACTACTCGATGTTTATGTAAATATTCTGATGACACAATTATACAGAGCCTATTGCTAGGTTCCGTAAAAATATAAAATGAGATACTCAATTCATTTCTTAGCATTTTGTATATATAATTACAGTCAAATAAATGTTAGAGTGGAGACTGATTTGTATTATATTTTAATATGGTAATATTTGATATAAAATATAAAAATACTTGATATAAAATATTTGATAAAAATAATACTTGATATAAAATATTTATGCTCAGATTATTATTAAATAAAAACATTCCAATAGATATATCCAAATTAGTTTTAATTTAATTGAAGTGAATTGATGATACGCATGGATTTACACGGTGGGAGATATAAAAACAAAACAATTGGTAACTCCCATGCTAGACTGAAAAAAATCAAGTGATTTAAATGCCTATCAGTAGGTATATAATTAAATAAATTACGATAAAATAATTCATTAAAAATAAAGATGGATTTGTACTGATTAAAAATAATAATTGCAAAAATATTTGGTTTTAAGACAAATTTCAAAATGTACTTTGCTTATGGATGTGTGTGTGTATATACATATATATATATATATATATATGTATATACACATAATATGGTTGGAAAGATCATTTAAAAAGTTAACAGTAATTGCCTCTGGAGAGCAATTTTCAGGACATCAGGGTGGCAGGGTTTATAAGGAGACTTTCCTTTAGTCTAATCTCTCCTATGTTGATTTCTTCTAATCATGTGAACATGGTTTACATTAATTTTCTGACCATGGATTCATAGGTGACTCAAATGATTACATTAGCTGTCTTTCACCACCCCGCACCCCCATAGCAACTATCATGCCTCACCCCCCGTTTCACACAGTCCAGGCACATGGCCACATGTGATAAAGAACACAAATTTCTCAAGACAAAAATCTTCCTATTTCTTAGTCACAATTCAGGTCTGCTTTTAATATTTAACTATTAATTCTACGTGCTGGAGTTCGCAATTTACTTCAACACATTCTCTGTCCGGGGTATACCCTTGGGCCTCAGTTATTTGTGGATTAGACAGTAGAAACTTTATATCAAGTCCTTGACCAATCTCTTAATTATTTACCATGTCAAAGATTCTTCAGTGTTGTTGCTTTTATTGCACCCTTGTGGACCATTTGCTAAAAAGCAATTTGCTATTTTGGAGATAAATTAGCTTTATTACTTCCTGTTCATGCACATTGAAAAGCACCGTGGACTGTTATTTTCCCTAACTCATCCCTCATCCTCAGCATCAATGCATCTATTAAATCTAAAGGCGTTTATTTTTCACATCATAAAAAGGTAGAGTTAGGTTATTTGTCCTGACTAAAAACACAAAATACTTTTGCTAATTTATCCTGCAGAGTTGCTGGGTTTTATTTCCATGAAATTAATCATGACAAACCAACAAGCAAAGAATCACACTGAGTGCTTTTCAGTTTATTGAAATACAGTGTTAGTTTATTCTTTATGTATATGGAGTATAAGATTTTGAGATTTAATACTGTACTAAATTTCTAGAAACATAGAATTATTAAAACATTTGATTTTTAATAAGAGATAATGGATACAAATATTCCTCTTACCTTAAATAACTTTGATGTGTTTCAGACCCATATAATGAGCCATTTATGTACAGTGTAATATCAACCTGTATAGTAATAGCATTAGTAAAATACAGAGTGCACTTTCAGGGTACTTAACAAACTGCTTGAATTAGTAAAGAACGAAATCAATAATAATATAAATGTTTAATTATAAAAACATTATTGAAAATAATTATAATGCTGAAAATTGTAGTTAAACCAAACTGTTTATTATAGACTAAAGTTTATTGTATTCTATTTATTTCCTTTTAATTCAGTTGTATTTACTTTTTTGTGATAAATGTTACATTGCTAAGCAGTAGTAAGTTTTTAGTAATATCATGTCAGTCATTTCAAATACTTTTTTTTTTACTTTGTTAAAATAAAGCTGACTAATTGGTATTGTCACACTCATTGGGAAAACACACACAAAGACACACACATACAAACTGAGGTTCAGAGAAGTTAAATGATTTGTATAAGATAACAGCAAGTAACTGGAATCTAGTAGTCTCCCCTTATCAGCAGTTTTGCTTTCTGTGGTTGTAGTTACCTGTGGTTACTTGTGGTCTGAAAATAGGTGAATACAATACAAGTAGGTATTTTGAGAGACAGACCACATTCGTGTAACTTTTATTACAGTATCTTGTTATAATTGTTCTAGTTTTATTGTCAGTTATTGTTGACTTCTTACTGTACCTAACTTATAAATTAAACTTTATCATAGGAAGAACATATGTATAGGAAGAAACATAGTAATATAGAAGGTTTGGTGCATCCATGGTTTCAGGTATCCCCTGGGGGACTTGGAAGGTATACCCTGCGAATAAGTGGGGATACTGTATCTGAAATACAAACTAAGATTTGTCTGATTATACAAACCATCTTAAAATTGTCTTACAATTTAGTGCTAAAATGTAATAATGTACAAATATGTACATGTAATCTAATGTAGCTAAATATGTTAATTGAAATAAAATTATATACTGTAAATGTTCATAGTAATTATCATTAAATTTGTAATAATGCAAGTATCTTTATAGCTTTTCTCAACTGAACTGCAACTAGAGTTCTGTGATTATGCTTAGGGTAAACATGTCATTTTTCCCATTTCACAGCTAAAGTACAGGGGTTGGAACAGTCAGCCAAGGTGAGGATGATTTTGAATGACTCCAAAGGCCCAGGATTACACAGACAGAAATCTAAGGGTTGTGTCTTACTAGGGAGTCCTCTACTCTTGAAATCCTTTTCTTTCTTTACTTGTACCCCAAATTGATTTTTACTCTAATACTGCAGGCTTGTGGCCTGAACTCATGGCTTTCAACTTCACAAAATTGAAAGTAGAGAATATTTAAAAATTAGTTTCCCACATATATTTAACAGTGTTATTAACCACTGAATCAGTAGAGTCTAGATCTAAATGGTATAGATCCAGTAATTTTTAATGTTCCCATTATGTATAGAGAAAAGTCTGAGATGTTGTTTTGCATTGATTGGCATTAGATTTTCAGATTTGAAAAGTTTTTGGGGTAAATTATTCAGTTTCCATATATTCAGAAGAGTTTTGTTGAAACCATCCAAATGTCCTTAATTACTTAAGGTATCTTCTTGGGGGGGTTACAAAAATAGTCATCTTTGAGTTCTGAGACAAAATACTGCAAAATAATGGATTTATTCATTATCTGAACGGAAATGTAACTGTTTGCATGCTAAAAAGATACACCCTCTCCCTAAGTTAGTTCACAATTTTTAGGCATGAAGGACTGTAAAAGTATGAGTCAGGTCATGGTGAAATGGGGAATCAGCTCCCATTTGAAACCTCCAGAAATAACTCTCCTCCAAGTAAGTGGCTACAGAATTCTTAAAAAGAGGAAAGAACTTTCAGTTTCTCAGTGGCCATTTTTTATTGCATAATAAACCTGACAAGAATAGACTTCTATTCCTAGAATTGTCAATTTGTCATATCTGATGAGCACAAAGTGTCCTATTTTTAAACTGACGCATACAGGCCTTGCTCCTGCTATGCCTGCATTGTATAGTAATGGCATATTTAGAAATACTGTACAATAGAAATATTTCTGCTAATTTTCAGATCTAAAAAGGAGACATTTCTCACATGTCTAATAAAGAGCAAGGCTCTACTGAATATTAGTCAGAAAAATTTGCCCAGTATCATTGGATATTGCGATACATATTTATCAAGCAGCTTCTACAAGCAAGATCATCTACCAGGTACTTCATACTGAAAGGTGACATAAGACAAAATAAATATTTATCAAGCAGCTTCTACAAGCAAGATCATCTACCAGGTACTTCATACTGAAAGGTGGCATAAGACAAAACAACAACAGTAAAACACCCAGAAAAGTAAACCATTTAATAGAGATATACCCTCGGTGCTATAAAGCCACAAAAGAAAAGCCCATTGCTTTCTCCTGATCAGGAAAAGTGCAGCAATATTAGGGTTTATGTTTGTTTGTTTGTTTAAGGTTTCACATAAGATGTGTAGAGCTTTTGAAATACTGTGAGAAAACATGGGCAAAGTGAGCTAGGCAAGAAGCATCTAAAATGCACATAGGCCTGGAAGGAGCATGACCCACATGGGAGACAAGAATTTCAGGAGAGAGTACAGGACACGTGTGCCAGCGGGCTGCAGATCAGGTCGAAGAGAAACGTGAGGTCCAGATACAGCAAAAGTTTAATACTGCTTGAGAGGTTAGCATACACTTTGTCTCATTCCAAAGCAATAAAGAGTGTTAAGTAAGGAAGAGATCCTCGGGTTTGTGTTTAGAAAAGTTAGGCAGTAATATGCAGGATGTATTGGAAGTGGACTTGGGAGATTAAAAGCAAGAAAATAGTGTTAGAAAGTAGTTTGCATGGTTGAAGAAAAAGTTGTAAGGGCTAAATTCAAAACCTGATTAACGTCTACACTTCATGGGTATTTAAAGATAAATGTGTACAACTTTAAATGGGATAAAATAACCAGAGAAGAAGAGGGAACAGTGATGAAAGTCAAGGGATGAGGGAGATTTAAGGAAATACAGTGTTCACCAGTGCACATATTACTAACAAGTCAAATTAGATGAAAGTGGACAGGCTTTATTGGATTTAGAAATTCTGAAGGTGTTTGATTATTGCTGGCAAAATTTCGGGGGAAAGGTAGAGAGGGAAGACTGACTGCAGTGGGCACGAACGGTGTCTGAAGGTTGTTTCTATGAATAAGATATACTAAAATATTTACTTGTATTTTAATCTTGGCCCTGATACTTAGTACTTGATTCTGTCTATTTAAATGGAAATATGGTTGAATTAGACTATGCTAATGTTCCTGTTAGTCTCTCTTAGTCTAATCTATACACTACTCCTCAGATAAGCATCTGAAAGCACCCTCCCTCTGTCAAACACCTTACATTTGTGAATGTATTCCTAAGGATTAGGAACTCTGCCCAGTCTCTTCTCTGTCACTCCACTTTGTACTTTCCACAGTCAGTATTGGGCAAGAACGGAGATGGATTGGAACAGAAGTAGGCAAGATGACAGCTCTCCTGGTGAAAGGTGACCCGTGTCATCAATGTCCCTCCACCCATAGCACCTGTTTGTTCCACCCTATTGTCTAGCAAGAGACAGATATGGAACTCTCACCGGTGTAATTAACGTAAGGTTTGCTCATTGCAATGAAAATAGGAAATAGATAAATAGAAGACAAAATATATACTAATATCTGTATACATTTGTGGGGAATAAAGAAGGAATGCTTCTCACACCATTAATGTTTATTCCTGGACAGAAGTGGAAATGGTGTGGGTTTGACTAGAAAGAGAAGTCTTTTACTTTTCACTTGCTATAATTGCTTTTCTCCTTTTTAATTTTCAGTATTTTTCAAACAAAATCTTCAACATGTAGGTTACTTATGTTGATATATAAATGTGAAAATTACAGAGTGTTCTGAATCAAAAGCATGAAAATCAGCAATTGCAAACTTGGGAGATCAGCACACCCTCATGGAAATCTCAGTTTAGCTATTTTTTGCTTATGCGAGTCAGTTAAATTCTTTGAGGCCCAGTTTCTTTAAGATGAGGAAAATGTTAACAAAATTTCACAGTTCCTTTAAAATTAGAGATTACATATTTTTAAACAGCCTGGACAGCGTAGAGCAGGAGCTTAGCAAATGGTAGATGATAAAATTGGAAATCCTAGCAGAAGTAATAAAACAAATTGAGCCTACTACATATGACTGCTCTACTCCCTACCTTTCTGCTTGCCAATTCCTGAGTCGAGGAAGGTTTTTGTGTTCTGAGTAGTAACCTCTGCAGGGAATTTGAATCCCAGGGATGTGGTGGCATTTTTATTTTTACAAATATATTTATCAGCTATGTGTATAGGTGTGAAAACAAAGAGGAGAGGGAGAAATGTCCTTTAAATGACAGCATCCCTAGGGAAAATGACAAGCTCATGGTAGGTAAATAAATTATGTTTATGTATTTGTATGTTCATGTCAGTTTTGTTACTATTTTCAAGCTGGCATTTGGGGGTTCACAGCTTTCAGTTTATTACAGTCACTTTATTTATAAAAGTATAAAACCCAGGAAAAAATTTCCCAAGTGGTGCACTAAACCAGTACTCTGAAGCAAGAAAAAGCTTTTGTCTGCTTTCTTTGACTATTTGCAATGGAAAATGAATTTGAAAAAAGAATTAGAAGCCTTTTTACATGGATAAAATTTAATTAAAATTTATTTTTAGTCTCTTGAATATGCTTCATTCTTAAAAAAGGACTGAAGTAGAAAACTATATAACTAGGAAAGCATTTTTTTTTAATGTTCTGTAAATTCCTGACCTAGGAAAATAGATACCCATATGCATATACCAATGGACACTTCATAAATCATCTAAGAACAAAAAAGAATGGGAATTCTACTTTTATCTTTAACTATTTTTACATTTTCAGTACTATAGTTATATGGGGGAGATTGGGTGGCCTAGCCAAATAATTACCCAATGAAAGTGAAAAAGCATCTTCCCTAATATATGCCAAGATATTTAGACATAGTTTGACATGAGCATAGAGGAAAGTTGTTAATCAAATGAGTTCTTTTTTTTTTTCTTTTTTTTTGTTGTTGTTGTTTGCAATTTGCTCTTCAGATCCACTTTCCACCCTTTTCTGTTCTGGCCTATCAGTGTTCTAGGAGGCTGGGTCTTTGTCCTGTACCAATGACCTTTCTTTTCCTTTTCCTCCAGGTTTTATTTGGGTTGATGCTATCAGTGACAGGAGTAGAAGATTGAAGGGCAAAAGAAATGTAGGATTAGAATATTAGTTCCCTGGTGTCCTCCAGACCAAGTCACTGTTAGTTGCCTGTGTTCTTCTACTAAAGGCCAAAACTTGATCAGGCAACTCTTCATGTAGCTGTATTTTCCAGCATAGTAACCTGTTAGGTTAAAAAGTAAATGACTCAGCTGGGCGCGGTGGCTCATACCTGTAATCTCAGCACTTTGGGAGGCCAAGGTGGGGGGATGGACGAGATCAGGAGATCAGGACGATCCTGGCCAACATGGTGAAACCCGTCTCTACTAAAAATACAAAAATTAGCTGGGCATGGCGGCACATGCCTGTAATCCCAGCTATTGGGGAGGCTGAGGCAGGAGAATCACTTGAGCCCAGGAGGCAGAGGTTGCAGTGAGCGAAGATCATGCCACTGCACTCCAGCCTGGTGACAGAGCTAACTTTGTCTCAAAAAAAAAAAAAAAAAAAAAAAAAAAAAAAGTAAATGACTCTGTATTGCAGAATAGGCACTGTCACTTTGATGGTTTCCTATATTCTAGTATCTCTTTGGCAAAGTGTCCTATTATTTAATGATAATAATCATTAAAATGTAATTGTTTTCTACCTTACCCTGTCCAAATTCTGAGACAGTTTATAGTAGCAAAATTTTAGAAACAACTTAAACCATTAGCTATGAGTAAAGTATGCTAAGCCTCATAAATAATATATAGCCATATAGAATACCTTATAGCATATAAATGAATAAAGTAGATGTACACAGATCAACATGGATGAATCACAATGTCATGATATCAAAGGAAAAAAATTAGCGTTGTATATAGCATAATACTTGTATAAATTGAATAAACATAAGCAAACACATCACATGGCAATCATGTACATGTATACATAGAGGGTGAATTGGGAGAACTCACATCCAGCTCATCTTGGAGAATTTCAGGTGGTTGATGAAGACTGTGCCAATTACTAAAAAATAAAGTTACATATAGGGGTTACTGAAAAATAATTTTAAAAATCAGTATTTTTTTAAGTAGTAGGAAATGGGCATTTCTCATATTCTTTTTAGTTTGTTTTTAAACTTCTCACGTTTTTTGAGTATATTCACATAATGTCAAAAATAGAAAAGGTGCTCAAAAATATATAACTATTTATTTTACTTTAAAATTAACTATTATATCAGTCTTGCCTTTACATTTCCTATTTGTCTCTACTTATTACTTATATATAATATTATCTACATATTATTTTATACATATTCAAAAGACTCCATTTTATATTCATAGCTCTGGTTTTAATCCTCCTGTGTCTCTGAGCCAGCCTTTCAGCATTTCCTCTCTTTAGCCTAGCCTTCATGTTAAGTGTTAAGAGGGCTCTTGTAGGTTGTTTTTATTTTTGGTTTATAGTCATGCATCTCATAATGATGTTTCAGTCAATGGTGGACCACATATGTAACAGTGGTCCCTTAAGATTATTGTATTTGTTTTTACACTGCTGATAAAGACATACCTGAAACTGAGAAACAAACAAAGGTTTAATTGGACTTACAGTTCCACGTACCTTGTGAGGCCTCAGAATCTTGGCGGGAGGTGAAAGGTTCTTTGTACATGGTGGTGGCAAGAGAAAATGAGGAAGCAAAAGCAGAAATCCCTAATAAACCCACTGAATCTCATGAGACTTACTATCATGAGACTAGCACGGGAAAGACCAGCCCCCATGATTCATTTGACCTCCCACTGGGTCCCTTCCACAACATGTGGGAATTCTGGGAGATAAAATTCAAGTTGAGATTTGAATGGGGACACAGCCAAACCATATCATTCTGCCCTGACCCCTCCAAACCTCATGTCCTTGCGTTTCAAAACCAGTCATGCCTTCTCAACAGTCCCCCAAACTCTCGACTCATTTGGGCATTAACCCAAAAGTCCAAAGTCCAAAGTCTCATCTGAGTCAAGTCTCATCTTAACTCTTCTGCCTATGAGCCTGTAAAATCAAAAGCAAACTAGTTACTTCCTAGATACAATGGTGGTACAGGCAATTGGGTAAATATAACCATTCCCAACGGGAGAAATCGGCTAAAACAAAGGGGTTTTCAGGGTCCATGCAAGTCCAAAATCCAGCAGGGCAGTCCAATTTTAAAGCTCCAAAATGATCTCCTTTGACTCCATATCTCATACCCAGGTTACACTGATGTAAGAGATGGGTTCCCATGATCTTGGCCCTGTGGCTTTCCAGGGTACAGCCTCCCTCCCAGCTGCTTTCACGGGCTGCGTTTGAGTGTCTGTGGCTTTTCCAGGTGCATGGTGCAAGCCATCAGTGGATCTACTGTTCTGGGGTCTGGAAGATGGTGGCCCTCTTCTCACAACTCTACTAGGCAGTGCCCCAGTAGGGACTTTGTGAAGGGGCTCCAACCCCACATTTCCATCTGTACTGCCCTAGAAGAGATTCTCGTGAGGTCCCTGTCCCTGCAGCAAACTTTTGCCTGTGCATCCAAGAGTTTCCATATATCTTCTGAAATCTAGGCAAAGGTTCCCAAACCTCAATTCTTGACTTCTGTGTACCTTCAGGCTCAAGACCACGTGGACACTGCCAAGGCTTGGGGCTTCCACCCTCTGAAGCCACAGCCTGAGCTGTACATTGGCCTTTTCAGCCACACCTGGAGTGGCTGGGACACAGAGCACCAAGTCCCTTGGCTGCACACAACACAGAGACCCTGGGCCTGGCCCATGAAACCACTTTTTCCTCCTGGGCCTCTGGGCCTGTGGTGTGAGGAATGGCCGTGAAGCTCTCTGACATGGCCTGGAGATATTTTCCCCATAGTCTTGAGGATGAACATTAGGCTGCTTGGTACTTATGCAAATTTTTGCAGCCAGCTTAAATTTCTTCCCAGAAAATGGGTTTTTATTTTCTATTGCATAGTCAGGCTGCAAATTTTCCAAACTTGTATGCTCTGCTTCCCTTATAAAACAATGTATTTAACAGCACCCAAGTCACCTTTATGTTTTTTTTTTTTTTTTTTTTTTTGAGACGGAGTTTTATCTTGCTTCCCAGGCTGGAGTGCAATGGTGCAATCTCGGCTCACTGAGGCCTCTGCCTCCTGGGTTCAAGCGATTCCCCTGCCTCAGCCTCCCAAGTAGCTGAGATTACAGGCATGAGCCACTACGCCCAGCTAATTTTTTGTATTTAGTGGAGATGAGGTTTCACCATGTTGGTCAGGCTGGTCTGAAACACCAGACCTCAGGTGATCCACCCACCTCAGCCTCCCAAAGTGCTGGGATTACCGGTGTGAGCCACCACGTCAGTCCCAAGTCAGCTTTTGAATGCTTTGTTGCTTAGAAATTTCTTCTGCCAGATACCCTAAATCATCTCTCTCAAGTTCAAAGTTCCACAAATCTCTAGGGCAGGGACAAAATGCCGCCAGTCTCTTTGCTAAAATGTTACCAAGATTCACCTCTGCTTCAGCTCCCAGGAAGTTTCTCATCTCCATCTGAGACCACCTCAGCCTCGATTTTATTGTTCATATTACTATCAGCATTTTGGACAAAGCCACTCAACAAGTCTCTAAGAAGTTCCAAACTCTCCCACATTTTCCTGTCTTCTGAGCCCTCCAAACTGTTCCCAGTTCTGCCTGTCACCCATTTCCAAAATTGCTTCCATGTTTTTGGGTATCTTTTCAGCAAGGCCCCTCTCTACTGGTACCGATACACTGTATTAGTTTGTTTTCACCCTGCTGATAAATTCATATACAAAACTGGGAAACAAAAATTTAATTGGACTTATAGTTCCATATGCCTGGCAAGGCCTCTGAATTATGGTGGGAGGCAAAAGAGAAAATGAGGAAGAAGCAAAAGCGGAAACCCCTGATAAACCCATCAGATCTCATGTGACTTATTCACTACCATGAGAATAGCAAGGGAAAGACCAGCCCCCATGATTCAATTACCTCCTGCTGGGTCCCTTCCTCAACGCTTGGGAATTCTGGGAGATAAAATTCCAATTGAGATTTGAATGGGGACACAGCCAAATCATGTCAATTATAATACTATATTTTTAGTGTACTTTTCTATGTTTTAATTACCATTGTGTTATAATTGCCTACAGTATTCTACACAGTAATGCACATGCTGTCCAGGTCTTTAGCCTAGAAGCAATAGGCTATACCATACCTATAGTCTAAGTATGTAGTAAGCTGTACTACCTAGGTTTGTGTAAGTATACTCTGATATTTGCACAATAAAATTGCCTGACAGCACATTTCTCAGAATGTATCCCCCTTGTTAAGCAATGCATGAATGTATTTTTAAGATGCAGTGTCAGCTATTTCTGTAAAAACACAACTCTTGTTCTCAAAGATTTGGTCTCTTTTTCATACCTACCTTGATGTTCCTGTAATTGTTTGCCTAGTCAGACTAACATCTCACTGATGACCATCAGTTGATGCTTAAACATACTTTTGTAACTTAATTATTGGAGGAGACATGAAATGTAATGAGTTAAGATTTGAAGTAAGTACACTTAAGGAGGTTAAAAATTGGGAGGGGGCAAAGTTGGGAGAAACAGATGGCTGTGAAGAGCTTGATCGGATAATCTTTTTCCAACAAATTGAGATTTAAACTATCAGGTGTAGCCATTACACTTGAAATAATCCAGCTATTGGGATTTCTTAAAAGGAGATGCAGACAAAGTCTGCACACTGAATTATCAGAAGAAATACTGAGTGGAACAAAAGGGCCAAGAACTACCTGAACAGTGAGGATCAACTTTGATAATAATAATGAAACAATAGGAAAAGCAACCTGGAAAAGTTTATAATACCTCAATTCTAGTTACTAAACTGTGAATTGGTTCCAATCCTCCTCCCGGCCTGGTTCTCAAAGGGAACAGGTAGAAGTTCTCACCTCTGTATGGGACTGAAGACAGAGGGATTTAAAGGAGGAGACGTAGGAGGGCATGTCCTGGAAGTTCACGGGTGGAGAAATGGCAAGCCACCCCATCTTAGGAAGTAGAAATGTGTAGTGAACCGGAAATTCCTACATCATTATCTGGAATCTGGCCTATGAAAGAGATGTCGGCTAATGGGGATTTCTGGAGTCAGTGCCATTATTGTCAAAGTCCCAGCCATCACAGGATCCATAGTATTCCATTAATATTTAAGCAGGAGAGGTGGAACCAAACCTCAACTTAAACCTGGGCAGATCTGATCTCATGGTCAGCTTAGCTTCCCTCCCTTTGCCTATCTCCCAACTTTTCCAACCCTGCTCAATCCTGCTATTAAATACATAATAGCAACAATAGCTAACATTATTTGTTTGCCATAACTTCCAGTATTTGAGAGCGTTACTTCTTCCTCATCCCACCTCTTTGGTTCAGTTGAGGGTTGCCAGGACTGTACCCTAGCTCCCCTAAAAGCAGGGAAGCATGTGACCTCCTCCCTTTGGATATGATAATTGGGCCAAAGATTGAGATGAAACCCACATTAGATCTTCAAGCATCCTTTTCTGGGATTTTTCTAAGTGTAGCTGATAGGGAAGATTTCATTCTACTTAAGAGAATGAAAGAGTGCCAGTCTTGAGTAGCCTCTGGTCATGTTCCCTGCTGTGCTGAAAAATTCCATTTGATGTGTTATGTAATAGGAGAAAATGGCATGAATACAGAAAAACAAGATTCAGAGAGAAATTGAGAGTCCTGAGAATATCCAGGTTTCTTGTTTGATTGTCACTGATTCTACAGTGGTATTCTGTCATTTGGTTTTATGAAGTAAAAAACCTCCCTGTTTTTGAAATTTTTAATTCTTAATATCTTTCAAGTTGGATCTCTGTCATTTGTAATAGAAATTTTCTTATAAACACTCCATATGTGCGAAATGCTGAATTAAGCTTTTTTTATTGATCTTTTTCATTGTTTACTTTGTATTTTGTCATTAGTTGACACATAGTAATTGTACATATTTACAGGGTACAGTGTGATGTTTTGATACATTTATACATCGTGTAATGAACAATTCAGGTAATTAGCATATCTGTCACCTCAAATACTTGGCATTTCTTTTGGTAAGAACTTTCAAAGTCTGCTAGCTATTTTGAAATATGCTTTATTTTTAACTGTAGTCACGCTACTGTACAGAACACCAAAACTTATTCCTCCTGTCTAACTATAACTTTGTACACATTGACCAACCTTTCTCCATCCTCTTCTCCCCTCTACCCTCTCAGCCTCTGGTAACCACTGCTCTACTCTGCCTCTGTGAGATCAACTTTCTAGATTCCACTTATGAATGACAGTATGAGGTATTAGCCCTGTGCTTGACTTATTTCACTTACCATAATGTCCTCTAGGTTCATCCATGTTGTTGCAAATGACAGGTTTTATTCTTTTTCATGGCTAAATCGTATTCCATTGTGTATGTATACCATGTTTTTTCACCCATTTACCTGATTGATATATATTTAGGTCTATTCTGTATCAACCTATTGGCTATTGTGAATAGTACAGCAATAACACAGGAATACAGATATCTCTGTGGAACACTGATTTTATTTCCTTTGGATATATAAGGTTTTAAAAATGGATTATCTCATACAAAACTTAGAAATACTCCTATGGGAGTATTTTATGCAACCAAAACAAGGATGTGCAAAATCTCAATAATGGGGAACTAGAAAAGTCTTGAATATGTGTGTGTAGGTGTTGGTATGTCTCTGTAAAAATGTAGGTGTATACGAATATTTGATTCTTTATATAATACACATGCACAGAGGTAATCTGAATATAGATACATAATGAGGCAATACCTTGTGATTAAGAGAATGGATATGTAGCTGTATTACCTCAGACATTATACATTCTGTTTCGAGCATTTGTAATTCCAGCAATGTATTATTCTGGAAACTCTTCTACTACTTGGTATTTCAATTTTTATATCTATAAATAAGGATGATAACTATACTTATCTCATAGGTTTGTTGAGTATTATATGAGTGAATGTACATATATTATTTAGAACAATAAATTGCAATGCATAAAACAAGGAATAGAGATTGCCAAGACATATTAATGTTGTTAATATTAACAATAATTATAATAATAGCTACCACTGGCTGGGCTCTTACTGTTATTCCACATATATTCTAAGCACAGCTGGTATACTTTCTGACTGTGAGCCACACAAACCCTACATAGATGGGAACCCTATGGTCCTTCTAATGGAATGGAATTGAGTTTCTCCAGTAACATATATTTAGAAAAAAATGAAATAATGTTTCCTATGTTTAAATTCTTATATTTCAAAATAATTTTAATTAAAAATGTAAAAGAACTATATTAACTTTTTGAAACAATATATGTGGCTTTAACAAATTTCAGTAATTTAAAAATATAAACAATTTTTTCAGTATGCCAGAAATACATGTCCCATGCAAAGCCCATATTCTATATGCACACATGATAATTTTACCCTTAAAATATTTTGAATTAAATATGTAAGAATTTCTATATACAAAAACATAAAGCTTCACATATAAAGCTACTTACACCTTCATGTGTTAGCCTCTAAACATATGCCCATATGCCCACTGAACTTGTAAATATCATTTCCAAAAAAGACTGTCTCTAGCGTAGAAAGAGGAAATTTGACCCATGTCTTGGAGAGGAGTCAAATCAGAAACTCCTCCTATTACGTCTTTTTCCTTTGCTCGTTTTGCTTTGAGTTCCAGTTGAGCACTTTGAACACATATGTGAAGAAGGAAAACTGCTACCTCACAATTGGCAAGGTCTTAGTTTCTTTTTTAATGTTGCCTTTGGATTGTACTGTCCTTGAAATGTGGAAGAATTGAGGAAGCAAACAGTAGAACCATATTTAGCTCTATATCACTTCATAACTAATAATTTAGAAATGAATCTCAAGTCAAATAATTAATTCTTCCTATCTATAGGATTTCAAATGGGCAAAACGATGTTCTCACCATTAGAATTCTGACGTTTAAAATTTTTTCACAGATTCCCATCAATATTGTAAAAAAATCCTTAAAAATATGTTGTAAATATAAGCGCAAGAAATCAGTCAAAATTGGCCATTTAAAACATGTTTTGCTTGTTGGTCAATTCAACTAAATTTATTTTGGCAAATTATATTAAATATTTACTAATTAAGCAACTGAGCAAAGCACTACAAGTTATTGATATATTTGAACATTTAGCCTAGTAGATTTTTGTTCTAATATGTTGTTTTTATTCTGATACTCAAAGAATAAACACTAAAGGAACTATACAACAGGATTCCTTTTAAAAGACATTTTCTTTTAACAATAAATACAGCTTTAGATTCTTATATGTAAAATTGCACTTCGTATTTTAAATACCTTCCAGAAACTGTTTCCAAACTTTAACATTAAGAAACAAACAAAAAGATATGAAAAAAAAAATTTTGAGGTCAGGCGTGGTGGCTTATGCCTGTAATCCCAGCACTTTGGGAGGCTGAGGCAGGTGAATCACAAGGTCAGGAGTTGAGACCAGCCTGGCCAATATGGTGAAACTCCGTCTCTACTTTAAAAAAAAAAGCCAGGCGTGATGCTGGGTTCCTGTAGTCCCAGCTGCTCGGGAGGCTGAAGCTGGAGAATTGCTTGAACCAGGGAGGCAGAGGTTAGAGTGAGCCAAGATTGCACCACTGCACTCCAGCCTGGGCAACAGAGCGAGGCTCCATCTCAACAAAAAAAAAAAAAAAAAAAAAAAAAGATTGAGAAAAAGCCTATGAATTTCTGAGACTTAAACTACTCTGAGGATGTATATGTTTGTCAATAAAATAATTGCCTAATGTATATACCCAGTACCCAGTAATGGGATTGCTGGGTCAGATGGTATTCCTGATTCTAGATCCTTGAGGAATCGCCACACTGTCTTCCACAGTAGTTGAACTAATCATTCTACTATAAAGACATATGTACACGTATGTTTATTGGAGCACTGTTCACAGTAACAAACACTTGGAACCAACCCAAATGTCCATTAATGATAGACTGGATTAAGAAAATGTGGTAATATACACCATGGAATACTATGCAGCCATAAAAAAGGATGAGTTCATGTCCTTTGCAGTGACATGGATGAAGCTGGAAACCATCATTCTCAGGAAACTAACACAGGAACAGAAAACCAAACACCACATGATCTCACTCATAAGTGGTAGTTGAACAATGAGAACACATCGCCACAGGGAGGGGAACATTGCACACTTGGGCCTGTCGGGGTGGGGGGCTAGGGGAGCGAGAGCATTAGGAGAAATACCTAATGTAAATGACGGGTTGATAGGTGCAGCAAACCACCATGATACGTGTATAGCTATGTAACAAACCTGCAAGTTTTGCACATGTATCCCATAACTTAAAGTATAACTTAAAAAATAATTGCCTAATATGTAATGTATTCCTTGATTGGATTCCTGACACAATAAGGGTTAAGCAATAGCAGAGCAAAAGTTTACTGAACAAGTCCAAGTCACTAGTGCAGTTAATTTGTTTTTGTGGAGTCCATCTCTCAGCATTGATTTTTGATCTGGGCATACTTTGCCAGGAGCTGGAGTTATTTGCAGTCGAAAACATTGGCTCTGTTTTGTTTATTTTGTCGGGCAGCTCATGTCTATGTACAATCACTGCCTGGAATAAAAAATGGAAAAGCCTGTTACAAGTGAAGAAGCTGGATAGCAAACTACATAAGTACCTTCTTTCTATCTGGAAGGATTACATCTACCCTAATATACATATGCATTCAACTTGTTTTCCCTTTTTTGCTATAAGTCAAATATGAGAAATTTATTCTATCTGCATTGACACTTTGCTTGTGTCTTCAGCTAGAGAAGCAAATGTTTTTAAGGCCATGCTTTTTTCTACAATCTATCAGAATATTCAATGTAAGGGCCAACCAAAAGGTAAGATGGAAAAACTCAAGGCAGTATTTTCCACATCTCTGTCAGAATATACAATCAATCCACTCACACACGTTTGGCTGACTGGTCAATATGACTATTTAGAACATAAAGTTGGCATGCACTTATGTCCTTAGAAGGTGTGTCTTCCCTAATATTTTGAGAGCTCTTTAAGGAAAAAGAGTGCATTTTATTTACTAATGTAATTCCTATTAAGTATATTGCCCATTAGTATATCTCACTGAAATTGACAATATGTGTAAATGACAATATGTGATAAAAGACTGAACAAAAATTTAAAAAGAACTTGAAGCACTTCATCAATGTCAATTCTTAAAAAAAAAAAAAAAAAAGGAAAAAAACCCTAGACTTGCTATTCAGATCATTTGCCCATATTACAAGTAGATGATTGGCTTTTTTGCTACTGAGATGTTTGTGTTCCTTACATATTCTGGGTATTAATTCCCTGTCAGATGAATAGTTTGCCCATATTTTTTCCCATTCTGTAGTTGTCTTTTTACTCTTGTTTCCTTTGCCATGTACAAGCTTATTAGTTTACATTAACCCCATTTGTTTGTTTCTGCTTTTATTGTCTGTGCTTTTGAGGTCTTAGTCATCACATCTTTTTCACAGATCAGTTTCCTGAAGCATTTCCCCTATGTTTTCTTCTAGTAGTTTTATAGTTTCAAGTCTTACATTGAGGTCTTCAATCCATTTTGAGCTTCAGTCTATTTAGTGCTTCAATACATTTGGTAAAGGGTGTAGTTTCACTCTTCTTCATTTGGATATCCAATTTTCCCCGAACTGTTTTTTAAAGAGACTGTACTTTCCCCCGTGAAAGTTCTTGGCACCTTTGTCAAAAATCAGTTGGCTACAAACGTGGATTTATTTCTGGCTTCTCTTTTCTGTTCCATTGGTCTATGTGTTTGTTTTTATGCCAGTAGTATGCTGTTTTGTTTACTATAATCTTGTAGTATATTTTGAAATCTAGTAGTCTCATACTTTCAGTCTTGTTCTTTTTGCTCAGTATTATTTTTCACTATTAATGATCTTTTGTGGTTCCATACAAACGTTAATTTTTTTCTATTTTTGTATAGAATATCATTTGTATTTTGATAGAAATTGCATTGAATTTGTAGATTGCTTTGCATAGTATGAACATTTTAGCAATATTAATTCTTCCAGTTCATGAATATGAGATTTCTCTTCATTTTTTTGTGTGTCTTCTTTGATTTCTTTCATCAGTTTGTTATACTATTTTTTTTTTGGAGGGACCTTTTACCTCCATCATTAAATTTATTCCAAGGCATTTTATTTTTTTTTTGTATCTATACTAATGGGGTTACTTATTCAGCTACTTTGTTATTTGTGTATAGAAACACTGTTGATTCTTGTATGTTGATTTTGTATTTGCAACTTGATCAAATGTATTTATCAGTTCCCAAAGGTTTTTCTTAGGGTTTTTAGGTTTTTCTATATATAAGATCACATGGTCTACACAGATAATTTAACTTCCTCTTTCCCTATTTGGATGTTCCTTCTTGCTTTCTGGTTTCCTCATTCAGTATGATGTTACCTGTGGGTTTACCACAGATAGCCTTTATTGTGTTGAGGTACTTTCCTTCTTTGCCTAACTTGTCGAGTGATTTTATCATGAAAGAATATTGAATTTTAGTAAATGCTGTTTCTGCATCTATTGAAATTATTACGTGGTTTTTGGCTTTTATTCTGTTGATGGTGATGTATCATGTTTATTGATTTGCATATCATGAACTAGCCTTGCATTCCTGGGATAAATAAATCCCACTTGATCATGGTTTTGGCCAATAAATTTGTAAAAAATGTTCAGCATTACTAATGATCAGGTAAATGCAAATGAAAACCACAATAAGCTGTCATCTCACCCAAGTTACAATGACTATTATCAAAAAGGCAATACATAACAAATGCTGGGAAAGATGTGGAGAAAAGGGAACTCTTGTATGCTGTTGGTAGGAATGTAAACCAGTGCAGTCACTATGGAGAACAGTATGGAGGTTCCTTAAAGAACTAAAAATAGCACTACCATATGATTCATTAATCCTACTACTGGATATTTATCCAAAAGAAGTAAGTATGTCAAAGAGATATTCTCACCCTACGTTTATTGCAGCACTATTCACAATAGCCAAAATATGGAATCAACCCAAATGTCCAAGAGGAAACGAATAAAGAGAATGTGGTATATATTTACAATGGAATACTATGTGGCTATTAAAAAGAATAAAACCCCATCATTTCTGGTAACATGAATGAGCTAGAGGATATTATGCTAAGTAAAATAAGTCAGGAAGAGGAAATTAAACACTGCATGTCCCACTCATATGCAGAAAAAGTTAAATTCACAGAAGTAAAGACTGGAACCGAGAATTCTAGAAGTTGAGAATGGTAGGAAGAAGCAGGGAGGGGGATAGGGAGAAATTTGTTAAAGGATACACAACTACAGCTAGATTGGAGGAATAAGTTATAGTATTCTATAACACTATGGCATAACTATAGTCAAGAAAATACCAAATATTTTCAATAAGAGAAGATATTGAAAGTTCCCAATAAACAAAAAATGATAAATATTTGAGAATCTTGATATGCTAGTTGTGCTAATTACTATACATTTTATGTATCAAAACATCACTGTATGCCCCATAAATAGAAACAATTATTGTGAATTTAAAAATAAATAATATTGAAAAATAGTCTTGCTAATTACAAATTATTTCGCATGTTTATATAGAAGTATCTCCCAAATTACTTCTATTAATTTAAACTTAGTAAAATACTCTGGATTTATTTATTCAACCATTTAGTTTTATCCTGATCAAAATGAGTCAGAATCCCACTGAAATTCTGAAACAAGAGAAACATCAATAAGGTAGAATTGTCATTAGGAGAAAATTCAGAATTTATTGGCTATCATAAAGATGAAAATGTCAATGTTGCAACTTTATTTTCCCTGGAATAAATCTCAGGTATTTTACTGACACAAATGGGCACAGAAGTCTTTGAATAATGAGCAGATACTGAAAGAAAATATTTTTTGGTGACCTGCAGAACTTCCAAAACCACAGTATGTGTTGTAAAGTTACTTTGGGTTGAATATGAAGACCTACAATATAGTAAGATATTTATTGCTTAAAAGATAAAAAATGAAGAAAGCAAAATTATCTGGAGAGAAATTTCATTTGTTTAAGAAGGGGGCTCACTGAAGAAGGAAATTTTTAGTGAAACATTAAGTTTTTTTCCTACAGAGCAAATAGTTTTTTGAAGAAAACAGTCTGGAGACTTGATTCATTTGGCTCTGTTTACTCAAGGTTATCTGAAGTATTGCCAATACTTTATGTTGGTTACTTGATTACAAAAATTGTTTGTATTTTCAACCTTTTTATAAATGAGTCTTTACAGCAAACCTATACCACTTCTCATTCCCACAGGAATGATTCTTGGAATACCTATATGTATGTCAGGATCCTCTCTCACATCAATAAGAGTTGTAATCTACCTGAAATGTGTTATTTTTCCATGCATTTGGAGCATGCAAAAGACATAAAAAGAGTATTTTTTTCTGAACTGTTGAGCTATATGCCAATCTAAAAAATGAAAGCTACTTCTGTAATAAATTTTTTGGTATGGAACATTATTACTCAAGTTGAATCTTAATATTACAGAGTCACAAGAGAATTGTAAAAACTGTGATCTCAATGAATTAATTTATAGTGAGAAATATAACTATCAAGTAGGCTACTCATGTTCGGAGTCAGTGTTTTCTTTCCTCATCAGCAAATCTAATGGGGAGTCAGATATTATTCAGAAAGTGTTTTGGTAGGCATGAACTCTAAGCAAGTGGAGTTAGTTCATTCACCTGAACAGATGATTATAAAGCTATGATAACATAAATAACGCATCAGTCTCTATTATACTAATCATCTCTGCTACATGAGTAAGACCCAGGCTTTTGTGGGATAGGCTACTCTCAGCCAGATAGCACCATAAGAACATTACTGATTTTTTTTAAAACATAGATGTTACATAAACTACTTTCATTTTTGTTCTTTCCTTAGACAAAAAGCAAGGCAACTTCCTGTGATAAAAGTTTTCTTAGTTAAAAGGAACAACATTCAGTTGCTCTTCTCTAATACTCATCTCTCTTTAGCTGAATTTTGGAAGTACACTGGCAATCTCTTGTGTGATCCTTCTACTACAAATGAAATAATACTCAGTAGTAGTTCAACATTCCAATTATGACTTTTTCATTGTAATTATTTTTAAACTGATATCTGAAATTGTACACATTTATGGGGTACATGGTGATGCTTTGATACATAAGCTAAATGCCCTAATTATTATATATTGTATCTGTAATCTCAAATATTTAGCAATTTGGGCAATTAGGCCCAAAACACAGTTCAATAATGTTCTTATCTATGTCTTTCCACTTAAGGATTTAAAGAAACCAAGTTTCTACCTTCAGAAAAGATGTTAAATGAGAAGAATAAGAGAAATTGTCTCATCGTTTCTAATTTATTCTCAATATATGCTCCAACTTAGAAGTTATTTGTTATTTAACATGCACAATCAAGATGGGACTCTGTCCTTTTTAGAAAAGGAAAGTTGCTTAGCATAAAATGCAAGATACAGGTGAATAATTTGAGGACATATATCACAGCTCATGTAGCCTGAAATTTGAAAAAGGGAAACAGTTATGTTAAAACAGAAATCCCACAAACAATCATCAAAAATTTAGTAAAATTGATAACATAGTATCTTAGATCATTCTATTAAATGTTTATTGCATGTGGCAATTGGAGAGTGCAGAAAGGGGAAAGAAGTTAAAATATAAGCAGATGAGAAAAGGTTAAAAAAAAATTCTAAAGGAACAATATCTTCCCTAAAAGCAATTCATCCTAGAAAATGATAGAAATTCTAATCTGTGGGTAGGCAATTTGATCCAAAGCACATTTAAATGTAATATCATTGAACAAGCTCTCTTCATGCCCCTAGTAAGAATCGAAGTGACAGATATAAAGTGTTTTAGCTATTAGACTTTCATGAATCATACTCCAAATTGTAAAATATTTTGTTTTATTTTTATCAAATCTGTGTTTCATCTAGGAGAACAGACTGGTTTAAAAAACCCATCTAGTTAAAATAAAATGAAGTGTTATATAAATTAAAATCAAGTCACTTCCCTAATATGCTTTTATCAGCACTTACTTTTTAACCCTATCAACGGCCTCAGGATTATATGTAAACTTTCTTTAACATGAAAATCAACTATAAAATTAAAAATCCTCATCTCAAGATATCCTTTTGTTTTTTACTTACCCATATGACTGAGACAATAACTGAATAAGAATTACAGAAAATGGATAAGATTTCATATAAAGATTTGAAAAAAAAGTTCTGCGTTAGAAAGGAATGAAATTTACTGACTACATTAGTTTTCTACTGCTGCATAACACGTTGCCACAAACTTGGCAGCACAAACACCACAAATGCATTATCTCAAAGTTTCTGTGGTTCAGAATCTCCAGCGTGGATTAAGGATCTCCTCTGTTGAGCATCTCACAAGACTAAAATCAAGATGTTGTCTGGGGCTGCAGTCTTATCTCTCATCTGAAGGTCTTCCAAGGTGATTTAGGTTGTTGGAAGAATTCAGTTTACTGAGGTTAAGACTGAAGTCTTCATTGTCTTGCTACCTGTCAGCCAGAGTGACTTTCACCTCCTAGAAGCTGTCCTCAGGCCTTAGTCATATAGCCCCCTCTCACAACATGACTGCTTACTTCTTCAGTGCCAGCAGGGCAATCTATCTTCAGTTGGTTATAATAGCATCTTACATAACATAAAATAATGACACCATCATCTATACTATCTATACCATCATCTTTGTCATATAAAGTAACCTAATCAAGAGAGTGACTGTTCTATATGATTCAGAGGTTCTCCCAACATTTAAAAGGAACGCTTTATAAGAGCTGTGTCCACCGGAAAGCGGTATTACGAAGTACATCTCACGATCCTGTCAACCAGAGTGATTTATTTGAATCTTACAAGGCTGTAGTCACTATCCCAATTATAAATTTTGAAAGCTCTGAAAATCAAAACCTTGTCTAACTTATTTGGTGAAAAATTTTGATCAGAACTTACACATAATTTATATAACTTAGTCCATTTTGTACAACTATTTAAGTTTGCAGTCGAAATACTAACATGCTTCAGAATGAAGTACATTATGTATACACTATTATATAATCATTATTTTGTGTGTTATTAAACAACTCACTGAAGGTGTTCAGTAATATACTGAATATGTGCAGCAAAGTAGTACCTTTCTAAAGTCTAAACAATCTCTAACCCTGAAACACATCTGCCCCCAAGGGTTTCAGATAAGAAATTTTGGGCCAAATTTATTAAAGTTCTTTAAAAAGGAGTTCATTGAGAAAGGGTTTATTTCAAGAATATATAAACCTTGGGGTAAGCTCAACATTTGCTGATTTAAATGACCTTCAAAAGGATAAGGATGAGGAAAGACAAAGAAAAAACAATTGTTTATACATCAAATCTGAATTCACTGGTTTCAATTTTATTGGTGACAACTTTGAAAAATAGGGCAATAATGACAGGGAGATCCATATTAAATACAAGGTAAGGGAAAATATTTATTTTACTAATTTGTTCAAGTTACTAAATGAGTGAACTCATAGACAGATTGGATTTGTACTACTAAACTGTAGTACAAAGAATTGTCTCTTTCATTTTCCCAAAATGCATGGTACATTTAGGGCAAGACATTTTTTTATAAGCTTGTTTATCTCATCTTTTTCCCCATAAGCACAGTATCTGGCTCTTGGGGCAAAACCTGTTTCACTTAACAGCCAATTTATCCATCCAGATTTGAGTCAACTAATAAAAATTTTACATGTTCATAGCTCCCCCGTCTCAGATTTCAACCTTAAATCAGTAAGTAGTTCTATTTATTGAAGAATTACCATATTTAAAGAAAGTGTGTATCTTGGTGACAATAGCTAGGAAAACGGAAGTCCTCAATCCGTGTCTATCAATACTAAATGTAAAATGTGAGGGGGGAAAATGCTTATAGGCAAGAAAGAAATGTAAATTGGTCTGTCACCAAAGTCCCTCTCCTTTGAAATGTCTTATAATTTACATGTAATATATGTGAATTTACAAGCAGCACTATAACTTGCACTTTGAAAGCAATGCTTGAGTTAATTAAATGAGCTCCTAGGAGAGCATGGATTTCTCATCAGATCTTTGCTATAGTCAGGTTTGAGAATTTAATTGAGGATATTCGCTTCTTCATAATGAACAGAGTAATTTTATAGAATTTTTTTTAATGATTTCTACAATGGATTGTTAGGCAGCTTCTAAACTGTAAGTTAAAATGATATATCCCTCTTTGTCTAAATACTGCCAAAGCAGTCAGTCAAGGCAGTTCAACTGCTGTTATTTCTATTAAAAAAAAAATCCATCAAGTTGTTTAAGTACAAAACAAAATCAAAAAAGCCGTTAATGAATATTTTTACCCTTCAGTGATGATAAATATTTTATTAGAATGCAAACAAGCAGTGAAAGCACAAAAGGAAATTTATCAGAACTGAGTCTTTGCTTGAATTTTGAGTGATTACTAGGTATGTTTTCAAACAGCACTGCCTGAACATAGCTTTTAAGTTTTTCAAATTAAAATAGCAGATGTCCACAGTAGCTGTGTGTATTAGAATTGTTTAATTTATGGAGCTAAAATATATGGTAGGCCAAATCTAAACAGTGTTAGAATTTTGAGATTGGTAGCCTCCTCTTCCTATGGAAGGAGCTTGCTAAGGGGTGTATCAGCTTCTTAAATAGGCCATTGGCATTCTTAGAGGTTTAGCGTGGATGGGATTAGGCAAAGGTGGAGTTCAATTTGGAGGTTCTGATAATGCAAAAGAGGCAAGAGAGGATGGCTGTGGAACAGGGGGTAGTATGGGACCAATGGATATGAAATGGTCCTTCAGAAATCACATTAAAAATGATGTAGGTTTCAATCAAATCAGATTTTCTGATCTACATCTACTGGTGAAGTTACTGAGTTGGGTGAGAAAGAATGAAGACCTGAGTTGTTGTTAAATTAAATTGCTTATTATGTAAGCAATTGCCTGCCTAAAATGATGTCCCTTAAGTGCTTAAAAGGTCTGAACATTAATTGCATTTTCTATAATGCTCGTTTAGACTAAAACAAATTAAATCAATTAAACAAATCTTAGAAGATGTATTGTGTAAAAATCCCAAGTCTTTTTTAGTAGACCTTAAATAAAAGTTTTGTAAACATAATAGATTTGTTGCCTGATGTACACAGCAAGTCAGTGTGTTGAGAAACTAGGTTGCAGCAGAAAAAAAGGTTTAATCTTAGTGTCCCTGAATGAGGAGATGGGAGGACACATCAACTCTATCTCAACTTATATGGGTTTAGAGTTTATAAGGGTTTTGGAATGGGCTGCAGTGTGAAGATCTCTGATTGGTGGAAGAGTGCTGCGTGAAGTCATGGGCCAGGGAGATGAAGAAGCTGTATTCTCATGCAGATCCCATTCCTCTGTGGGGGTCTTCAAACTGGTAGGTAGAATTTGGGGTCTTCAAAAAATCTTAAGTGGTCCTTAAGTAAAATCCTTGTGATTCTAATGTCAGAGGTCCTGTCTGAAGGGACAATGAGTATCAAATCAATTATTAAACAGTCTTACAAGCCTAATGTCAGAAATCCTATCTATAGGAACAATGTGGATGTGAACAGTATCTAGTGCTACAAGACTCTCGGCAAGAAGAAGTGGTCCAAAGTACAGCCTGACTAATACTAAGTTATGATTATATTTCTGTCCAGAACTTGGCAAACGATTCTTGTCAACTGCATGAGGACAATTCCAGTTCTATAGCTTAAAAGTTAGATATGCAGACTGGGAGACTTCTTCAGAAAAATCTCTTGCATGCTTCCTTCAGGCTAGTTGTCTGTCCCCTCAAGGTCCTAGGTCCATAGTCTTTTCATAAAGGTCAGAATCTCTTTGGAAGCAAACAGTTGCAGTGTCAGTAAATTACTCCCTTGAACTGATCTTGGGGACTGTGGGATTAATTTGGCTTTGAACACGGAATACTGAAAATAGAAGCATCAGTCTTTATTTATCCAGTTTCTGTATAATAAATTCCATTGCTGCTTTATCCATTTTATATACATACATACACCTATACACACACATAGATGTATATACGCACACACATATCACACACATACACACATAGGTAATGAGGTAGTAGTAGAATAAAGAGGTAGGATGTAAAGACAGGAATAAATTTATCCATGACTCCAAATAAATGTGTGAACTTTTAATATTCCATTTAGCTATTCAGAGGCTCCACAATAATACACGCATAAAATACAAATATATACACACACGTGTATATACACACATATATATACACATATATGCATGTGTGTATATATATGTGTTTCTGTATTGTAGCACCTCTGAATACAGGTATGTGTGTATGTGTGTATATAGGTATAAGTGTGTGTACATATGTGTAAGTGTGTGTGTTATTGTGGAGCCTCTGAAGAGCTAAATGGAGTATTAAAAGCCCACAAATTTATTTGCAGTCATAGATAAATTAATTCCTGTCTTTACATCCTACCTCTTTAACCTCTTCATTTAAAAATGAATTGTAAGGTATGAAAAAGAGATAGATTAAAACAAGTGTGTCCTAATAAGCTTTTGGCATATTAATTTGCATTTTATTGCTACTCTTTCTCCCTCCACCTTCTTAATTTCAAAGAGATAGCTAGACCTTTCATATTTTTTTTCCCTCAGGAAATTTTCCAGATCACAAAGTAGAAACTGTTGGAAAACAAAGCTTTCTCCTGTCCAAAAACTTAAGTTCATAGAAATGATGATGCAAAGCGCCAGGCGTAAGAGGAAAGAAAGCTAAATGCCTGCCCTTTAAGGCAACACTTGAGAAGGGCAAAATTTCTGGAAAATGGAAGAAAGATAGTTTAGTAAGTTTCTAGACTGTCCTGGACCCATGCACTAGTTAATGGACCTTAAGAGTGGGCTGATAAAATCTTAGAGGTGACAGTTGTGCAAGGTACCCAGGAAGCTGGCACATTTGCCCAGAGATGCCAGTCTCAGCAAAGATGCCTGCACTCCACTAGAGACATGGAAGACTGGAAGCCAAGAGCAACAAGGCTGCAAAACACCAGGAAAACAGGAGATCAGCAAATGACCACAGTGGACTGGATAGCAAAGGCCCTTCCTTTCATTATCAGGCAGCTTATAAGCCTCTCTGACTCTGTTCAGGGCCTCCAAAATACCCACCAGAACGTATTTCTTTAGAAAATTGTCTGTAGAAAACCCCTGTAGAAGTACAGGAGTTCAGTATCTAATTTAACCCAGACATTTTGAAAAAAAAAAATGTGTTTCTTGCATAGTTAAGTTTGTGGACCAAAAAGTATGTTGCCTGGAAAAAATGTCAAAGTTCAAAAGAGAAGAGTTCCCTCTGTCCCAGTGCCCAACAAAAAATAAGAAAAAAAAAAAAGAGAAAAAAAATAAATCTAAGTACAGATAGCTTAATGAAAAAATCGCAAACCTCCAACAAAATCTATACAGAAAGCCTCACTGAACTGTTGTAAATTACAAAAAACATTCCTAACCATCTACTTAGCACCTTACTGGAGCTCGGCATGTTAAAGGGAAAGTCTTTCCAGAAGTGTTTGAAAAACATCAACATCACAAAAAGCACATAATGGATATATAGAATAGTACAACAAATGTATAAAATAAATATACCTGCATCTATTTTGGGAATTTGGGGGTTTGGGGGTTTCCATATCCAATTCCATATGGTCTAAGGACCGGAAGTACACATTGGGCAGGGCTGCCTAATACTCTTGAAACAGTCTCCATGGTATCCTTGATTGCTGTACACGGTGACACAAATTCCTTGTATATCACTGTAACCTGCAAAAGGGATTCACTCAACTGATTATTACTACCCAGTAATGACAATTTATTTAAAAAAATATTTTAAACATTTTTGTGTGTTTCATAGGAAGGTTTCGCTTTTGTTTGTTTTTTTAAAAACCTGAGTCTTTTAAAAAGAGACCTGAGTAGTTTTTAGGTACTTGACAAGTTGCATAGTCCTGCTGTCAATTATGACGTATTATAATGAATGGTAACACAAATGAAACATCTGTTTGATCATTCAGTGACTACATCTGTTATGTCACATTTGACACATTGAGCAGGAGAACATAAAAAATTCAAGGAAAATTTGTAAATGTGAGTGCTAGATCATTGATTTTGAAGGATGAGATGTGTTAAGATTACTAGACCCATTCAGAATTTATTATAAAAGCACTAACCCTGTAAATTGGCCTTCTTTCACCACTGAGGCCCACTCTAATGGATACTATGTTTGTAAATGCAATTATATGCTTTTAAAACAAAGTTTAAATATAAGTTCTTAAAATTTATATTTTATTAATTTAAATATTTATGAATCTTTAAGTTGTATCAAACACCTTTTTAGGTGCTAGGATGTAGCTGTGAACAAAACACCTCTTGTGGAGTTTACATTCTAAAACAAGAGTGTGCAAACACAAAAGCAAAACAAAAAAAAATTACTCAGGTTGCAACAAGTAATCTGAAAAGCAGAGCAAGGTAAGTGGATAACAGCTAGTGTGCCAATTTATGCAGGGTGTTTAGAGTATATGATTCTGTTCATTATCTACTGCAAAACTTTTAAATAATTGATAATACAAAATGAAATCAAATCCCCTCTAATTCAGAACAAGTGAATAGAGTCAGAGCTAAAAGTCTGATTTGAAAGGAGAAATGCTTCGTGTAGGCTGTCTGGAGAATATAAAATTAGAACTAAAATTTTATATTCCAGTTTTTTCTTAATATCTCAGGCAATGTCTGATAATTTCAGCAAGCTCTCCAATCTACAGAGTATATAGTAAATATTTACTCTTGCATCACATTTAACAATTAGGAATTTAGACAGTTAGCTTATTTACTGCTTCCGAAAATAAATGTAACCAGTGGGCCTAGCGCAGAGGCTCATGCCTGTAATCCCAGCACTTTGGGAGGCTGAGACAGGTGGATCACCTGAGGTCAGGGGTTTGAGAACAGCCTGACAAACATAGTGAAATTCTGTCTCTACTAAAAAAAAAATATATATATATATATAAAATTAGCCAGGCGCGGTGGCACATGCCTGTAATCCCAGCTACTAGGGAGGCTGAGGCAGGAGAATTGCTTGAACCCAGGAGGTGGAGGATGCAGTGGGCCAAGATGGCACCATTGCACTCCAGACTGGGCAACAGGAGTGAAACTCTGTCTCAAAAAAAAAAAAAAAAAGAAAAAGAAAAATATAATGAGTGCCATTGCCCTGTCTAGAACCCTCTTCCTTTAGGATCAATCTCCTACACAACATTTACAGGGCTGCAGCACAAACATCATTTTATATTGTGCCTCCAACCCCTGCCACAGTTGATTTACTTGGAGATGGGCACCTCACCCAAGCTGGTCAAAGACACTTACTCATGGGCTTTGGAGGGTTGGGAATGAAAGATACATGATCATTTACTCTTTAAAATAAAAGTTGTAAATACCAAGCTGGCAGCAGCCATATCCTGTTAGGTGAGGACCTCTGAGAAGCAGAGAAAGTCAGACTTTCTGAATGAGTAATAAAAGAAAAAGGGAAAAAAATTATGAAAGGAAGAGAATCATAAGATGTGGAGAGATCCAATGGCATTTGTATTCCAGGCTCTAGTTGTTCCTGAGAGCAGGTTTTCTATCTTTGGATACCATAAGATATATAAGTAAACATAACAAATTTTATGTTTAAGCTAGTTTGTTTTAGGTTTTGGTAACTGTAAACCGTGTTTTAATTAATATAAATACACTGCGTATCAATATACTAGTCTTAGTTCTTCAGAAAAACAGAACAAATTGGGTGTGTATATGTATATAGACAGATTTATTATAAGGAATTGGCTCAGAGGATTCTAGGAGCTGGTAAGTCCAAAATCTGTGGAGTAGGCTGGCAGGCTAGAGACCTAGGGAAAAGTTGATGTTGCAGCTCAAGCCCAAAGGCAGTCTGGAAGTAGAATTCTCCCTTCCTCTGGAAACCTCAGTCTTTTTTATCTTAAGGCCCTCATAGACTGGAGGAGACCCACCCAATCATTATGGAGAATAATCTGCTTCAGTCAAAGTCTATGGATCCTAATGTTAATCTCTTCTAAAAGATACCTTCAGAGAAATGTAATGACATATTTGACCAAATTTGTGGGTACCATGGATTAGCCAAGTTGGCGTGTAAAATTATCTTAACCAAATCTAGTAATTATTTAACTTTGCTGTTATTGATTGAAACAAGAAAATTATGAGCCACACATGTGGGCAGCTGACCTTTTAGAAAGGTGCAAAGGCAACTGAGCAGAGGAAAGATAATCTTTTCAACAAATTTTACTGGAACAAATTGGTTACCAGTATGCAGAAATATGAACATTGATCCATCCTTCATTTTATATAGAAAATTTCACCCATAATATATTATATAGCTATATATAAAACCTGAATCTATAAAGTTCTGGATGAAAAAATACAAGAAAATCTAGGTGACCTTGTGTTACTCAAAGAATTCTTGGATCTCAAAATAATCTTCATAAGTGAAAAAAATTATTTAATTCATTCTGTTTGCTTATATGTATGTAAACCTTAGAAAGTACAAGCTAATTTATAGTGACAGAAAGCAAAATGTTGGTTGCCTAATGATTTTGTGAAGTGGGGCCAAGGAAGATTACAAATTGGCCTGAGGAAAGTTTTAGGGTTGATGAATATGTTCATCCTCTATATTGTGGTGATGGTTTCACAGGTGTATCTATATGTCAAAACTCAGAAAATTATGCAACTTAAATATGTGCAGTTTTATTATATGCCATTTACACCTCAATAAACCTGTTATAAAACTGACAAATTATTTTTATAGCCTAAATAGTAGGTGATGACTGCCTGAATTAGGGTAGTAACAGGGGATCATGGAAAGAAAGAAATGGATTAAGGATTTATGTATTTTTGGTAGAGCCAGCATGACTTGTTTGAAATAAAGAAAATAATGGGATAAAGATGGTTCTTACGCTAGAGGAGCTGTGTAAATAATTGTTCCAATGTAACATATTTATTCTTTAGAATCCAAATTCTATGCAGCCGCCTCAGTAGTAGTTACAGTGGTAAGAGAATCTCAGTGAATAGAAACTCTTAGTTAATAGTTGTTTTTTTCTTCTCTACATTTCAATGGGTAGACCTTAGTTCCTTGGTAAAGTTTTCTATATTAATATACTATATAAGATTTTATTTAGATAATTAATTTCACTGCCAAACAGGAGGGTTGAAAATCACTTTACTAGCATCTGGGAAAATACATTGATTATTCTTGTATTCTTCCTTGGCAAAAAATGAAAATAATTATATGAAAATATTGATATTTTAGTCAGGATAGATTGATGTTCATTATATGTCCAGCTCAATTCTAAACCATTTAAGTGTCTTAGATTGTATTCTCATAATCCTATAATATGGGTAGTATTAACCTCAGCTGATAAAGGATCAAGATCAGAAAGGTCAAGCACACAAATGGTTGGGATGATACTTAAATTAGGTCTGATAACAACATTTATATGTGCTCATCTACAGCACAGAAAATTCTCCTAGACTGAATAATAGAAAAGTTTAAACTATATTTTCTGATACATATCTTTGCTGCAAAGCAGTAATGAAATTAAAATAAGAACTTAGCGAAGTGTCTTACAGAGGGACCTTGTTAATTTCAAACTTCCTTGAAGTTATCACTAATTAGTATAAAGTGCCTGTGTACAGAGTTATTACAATTCATATTTGTCAAGAATAAGCAATCACTTAATAATGGGTTATTTTAATAATCTTAGATCCATTTATTATATATTAGATTTTCTTTTAAAGTTACTATATGTGTATATGCATATATGTGTGTACGATGTGCATGCATTTGTTTGCATAACAACCACTATCACCAAAACTGTGTCCCCACTATGCCGGGTATCCAGCAGTGTGAGAATGGACTAATGCATATGCATTTGTTTGCGTTCACATCATACACACATATATACATATACACATATAGTAACTTTAAAAAATCTAATATAAATGTATCAAAGATTATTAAAATAACCCCAGTTATTAAGTGATTAGTTGAGATTGGAACACATAGGTTTCAGAGGTATTTAGAAATTGCTTCAAAAACTAGGTACAGGTACTCCACGATACAATACTTAAATGTTAGAAGACTTACTTGAAGAGCATACGTATTTTCAATTTATGTAGAAGCAAGAGAAAACTCAGTAATAAAATATCATACATATAGACAGACTATCATGAGAGCAATAGAGCAAATTGATTGTGTTTACATGGTTTTTTTCTATATTCAGGATGACAAGTAATACCTACAAGTCTATAGGAATTATCCAAGTTTTTCAATATCTAGTTCAAATTGTAGGTGAAAAATCTGAATTTACATAAACATTTTTTAATAATTTTCTACTAACGGGGTTTGCCCTTCTGAACTATATACTTAAAAGTGTTTAAACTTTTACTAAGTACTGAGAATATTTCAAAGAAATAGGAAACAAAGTTGTTTTTCACAACATTGTTAATAATGACATAAAATTAGCAGCAGTGCAAGTGACTAATAAGGGGGGATTGATTAGGAATATTTGGTATATCCCATATGCTACAATAATCGACATCCATTAAGCACTGTGTAGACAATCATATTGAGAAATGACTGTATCCAACATAAGATTTAAGAAATGTAAAACAGCATGGATAATGTTATCGAAATTTCATTAAAACAAGCTAGATAAAAGTAGTATACAGAAATACATTTAAAACGTAACAATGGTTATCAATTTCTGAAGTGATGATAGATTATGCTCATTTTCTTCACATTTTCTCTTTGCGGTGTTATAATAAACACGTATTTATCTTCAAAATTTTTAAAGGAATAGATTAAGAATCTGATGTAATAATGACAGTAATAAACCTTTAACATATAAGCTAAAATACTTCAGTGTGTGTATTTAGCATCATTATATTCTAATTTTAGGAGCTCAAGTACATTTGAACACTGCTGTGATCTGGAAATTTACAACTTGCAATGTAGTCCCAGAGCAGCAACAGCAGCAGCATCACCAGGGCAGTACTTTTTAGAAATAAAGAATCTCAGACGCCATCCAGAGCAACTGATTTAGTAACTGCATTTTTAAAAAGCTCCTCAGATGCATGTACATTATAATTTGAGAAGCTCTGCTCTAGAGGACAAAAACTCTCTTAAGTAGAAATGTTGTTTCCTGATTTTTGATTAAATGAACACTGAATATACAATAGAACATTTAACAAAATATTTTATAAAACAAAACACCAGCTAAGTTGTATTATGTAAGAAACTCATTAGTTCACATGAGTAGTACTTTGAGTCATCTTCTAGCAGTGCAAAAGACAGTAAGTAAGATGGTCTTACAGACAATAGTCTGATAGAAAGCTGCAATGTTAACTCTATAGACAAATTTAAATATTTTAAGACTTGCATTAAGAAAAGAAATAGGCAGAGTGCAGTGGCTCATGCCTGTAATCCCAGCACTTTGGGAGGCCGAGGGCTGGCAGATCCTGAGGTCAGGAGTTCGAGACCAGCCTGGCCAACATGGTGAAACCTTGTCTGTACTAAAAATACAAAAAATAGCTGAGCGTGTTCATGGGTGCCTATAATCCCAGCTACTTGGGAGGCTGAAGCAGAAGAATCCCTTGAACCTGGGAGACAGAGGTTGTAGTGGGCCAAGATGGTGCCACTGCACTCCATCCTGGGTAACAGAGCGAGACTCCGTCTCAAAAAACAATGAAACAAAACAAAAAAGAAACAAAAAGACACGTTAAATGAATTTAATGGTATATGGTTGATATGGTTTGACTTTGTGTCCCCATCCGAACCTCATCTTGAATTGTAATCCACACATGCCAAGGGAGAGAGGGAGGTGATTGGATTAGGGTGGTTTCCCCCATGCTGTTCTCCTGATAGTTTTCACAAGATCTGATGGTTCTATAACGAGCTCTTACCCCTTTGCTCTTTGCTCTTTCTCTCAATTGCCACCGTGTAAGACGTGCCTGCTTCCCCTTCTGCCATGATTCTAAGTTTCCTGAGGCCTTCCTGGGCATGCAAAAGTGTGAGTCAATTAAACCTCTTTTCTTTATACTTACCCAGTCTCAGGTAGTATCTTTATAGCAGCGTGAGAAGGGACAATGATACATTTAGGCCAACACAATCAAAGTATTGTCCTTTTAATAGCAATCAAAAATTATTAATGGGGAATTTTACATTTATTGTACTTATTGTTCAAACTCTGTTGTGTATATCTTAAGGTCAGACTAGCCACGTTTCAAATGCTCAATACATGGCTAGTGTCTACAGTATTGGAACGGCGCGGGTAGAGACCATGGCTTAATTTGTAAGTTATAAAGTCTATTAAGACTGAGCCTTATGTCTTTCAGTTTGTACTCTATCACTGTGTTCATTATATTCTTTGGATGTGGGAAGACATGCTTTGTACAAATGGCTCCAGGAGTTTTCAAAATCTTTATGAAGACATGATGACATTCCAGCTACACTTAATAATTGCATTATTGTTTACATATGATTGTGCTGCCCGAGTTCCCACTCAGTGGTCCAGTAACAACCACACTCACTAAAACTGCATCCCCACTGTGCCGGGTATCCAGCTTGAATTTATACAAGTTGTAGGTTGTGGTGATTTTCTTTCCCCACCAGTAGAGTAGAGAGATCTCCAGGATCCAGAAAAGGCCGTGCTTTAGGGGCAAGGGTGCAAGGAAAACCTGGACCAGAGTTTTCAGTTCTCAGTAACAACATTTTCAGTAATTCTTGTTCTAGAAATACAGGATATCAATGGCATTTTTCGCTATAGCCATCGTTTTGCTATAACATTTTATTACATTAGAATTATAATTTTCTCTAATATTAGATTAATTTGAAGAATAAGTATGGCTGCTTAAGGAACAAATACTTTGTTGGATCACTGGAACTATTATGCTGATTACAAGTTGAGGAATTTATATTTAGTCAATGCCCAAATGTATTATAACTTAAAATAACTCAGAGATGCCACATTTTTTCCATTTATATAATTTGAAGAAATATTTATTACTACTGAAATTTATGACCACATGGATCTTCCAGGGTACCTTATTAATTTTTAATTTATTCTTTAATAGAAAAAATGTGCACATGCTAATTTAGCTAATATGGTATAATGTGGAATGCCAAATGTTGTGTCTAACACAGAATCTTTTTCCTGGTAGCACTAAAGCTGCTTTATCAGGACAGACTCATATTCTGTCCTCAATTCCAAGATACACAATAATTGAATAAGAATATGTAATTATGTTTAGAAAATAAACCTTGAAGTGATACTTCATTGAATATATAGTTCGCTATAAGAAGGATTTCATTTTCAGAAGTGTAAAAATGTGAATAATAGGAAGAAAACTTTTATTTTCAAATCAAGAAACTATGTATTAATTGGGAAGTTAACACAGCAGCAGATGCTAATTTGCATAACTTGCCTTACTGTATTCTAGCAAAAGAAATATGTGAAATTCAAAACTGAACAATTTTGATGTGACCTGGAGTTAAGAAAGTTAGAGAGCATCTACATATTTAAGGAAAATGTCTGGGCATTTTTGAAGAGTAGTAATCGTGGAGGAGGAGAAACGTAACCAGAGAGCAAGGCAAGACATGTGAAAAAAATACACATTAATGATACTATAGGAATAATTGAATCTTCAAACACAAATTTTGATTTTATTACGGGAGCATTGAAACTACAATTTTTTTTTTTTTTTTTTTTTTTTTGAGACAGAGCCTTGCTCTGTTGCTCAGGCTGGAGTGCAATGGCGTGATCTTGGCTCACTGCAACCTCCACCTCCTGGGTTCAAGCAATTCTCCCTGTCTCAGCCTCCCAAGTGGCTGGGTTTACAGGTGCCCAGCAACTTGCCCGGCTAATTTTTGTATTTTTAGTAGAGCCGGGGTTGCACAATGTTGGCCAGGCTGATCTCCAATTTGTGACCTCAAGTGATCAGTCTGCCTTGGTCTCCCAGAGTGCTGAGATTACAGGTGTGAGCCACCGCGCCTGGCCTAGAGTACGATGTATCTTGTAACAAAACACAATATAAAACAAAATGCTAGTGGATTTTTCTTTTTGTTCTTTAAAAATGATTGTTTTCTAATCATTCTCCTATATGGTGGTTGGGAGTAAAAACCTCACCTTAGAAGAAGAGCACAATTATCAAATTGTTAACTGTTTTTTTTTGTTTTTGTTTTTGTTTTTTTGAGACAGAGTGTCCTGCTTTGTTGCCCAGCCTGGAGGGCAGTGGCGTGATCTTGGCTCACTGCAATCTCCACCTCCCAGGTTCAAGCAGTTCTCCTGCTGCCTCAGCCTCCCCATTAGCTAGAATTATAGGTATGTGTCACCACGCCCGGCTGATTTTTGTATTTTTAGTGGTGACAGGGCTTCACCATGTTGGCCAGGCTAGCCTCGAACTCCTGACCTCAGGTGATCCGCCTGCCTGTGCCTCCCGAAGTGCTTGGATTATAGGCATGAGCCACTGCGGCCAGTCAAATTCTTAACTTTTAACTTAAAAAGTTATTTTCCCAGTCTACAACAGAAAGTGAATTGGAGATGCAATGGGGAAGAACCAATGGGTTTGGTCTCTTCTTGACTTTTTAGCTGGAGAGTAGGCTGGAGACTGTTAGAAATGAGCAAAGAGACTTTCTCCGAGGTTGGTTTGGATCCTGAGCTGTACATTGCTTCCTTTGCTTTCCTATTGCTTCTGCAAAGGGAAACATACTAGGTCCTTTTTATGTCTGGGAAACCAAGAGTAGATTAAAAGGCATCATGCTTCACAAAATTCATGCTACCACAATAGCACAGAGAGAAGGATGTTGACAAGCTCCGAAACAGTCTTACAGAGTCTCCATGCTCTTTGGTGGAGTTCGGAGACAGCCGCAATGGCATGGATGTGTCATCAGAAGAATTACAAGCCTTGGACTGCTGCATAAAACTAAAGATACAGTGTGAAGACAAAAGCAGCAGAAACCAGGGCATGACTGGGAAGTGGACTTTTTTTTCCTATCTTAGCCTCAGCTCCAGTCAGAAGGGAGAGCTGAAAAAACAAATTCTGAATGTGATTAACATTAAGGTTCTCCAGGGTATTAAGATTAAAATCCGTTACAGGAATCTTTATTTTTTATAATTAGTTCAGTTTTATTTTTTGAAAAATACATGGTTTTTAATTGATATGTTTATATCTCTTTGAATGAGTGCCAAGTAATTCTAATAATAGAATTATAATGCTTTAATAATAATTAGAATAATTATTAGTATCATAATTAAATTTTGTGATGCTATTAGGATGTGACACATTTAGAGTAGTAGAAAAAGCCAAATTCTCTAGAAATTATGTTGTATTATTTTATGGATTTAACATATTTTATCCTTGAATCATAGTTGTTTTTTTAAACCAAAGGTCAGTGGTATGATAATATTTTTAATTGTATGAACTTTATTTTAAATATTTTACCATGTGTACCTCTCTTTTCTCTGTAATTGCTTACAAGCATTTTGTTTTGTTTTCATTCTAAAGCAATTAATAAATTTTGTAAATAGCTTTTCAGCTGTTTACTAAAACTCACCTTCCTGAGTTATGTATAATAAAAGTAAATGGCATTTATAAGACGTGATTATGTGGAAATTGACTTTTAATACAAATTGCTTCTTTATTTTTACACCTCAATGGCTAATGTTGATAGTAAAGTTGTATATACAAGTTAAATAAAATTTTGGCTCTGTTTATTGTACCCCTGGTAAAGAAGCATGGTGTTTGACCCATAGTGAGTACTCAATAAATGTAAATTGAAATCGATAAATTTCAAAGCTATTAAAATACGTGTAATACCATGCACTCATAAAAAGGAATGAGATCATGTCTTTTGCTATGTCATGGATGAAGCTGGAAGCCATCATCCTCGGCAAACTAACACAGGAACAGAAAACCAAACACCACATGTTCTCACTCATAAGTGGGAGCTGAACAATGAGAACACATGGGCACAGGGAGGGAACAACACACACCAGGGCTTGTTAGCGGGTGGCGAGTGAGGGGAAGGAACTTAGAGGATGGGTCAATAGGTGTAGCAAACCACCATGGCACAGGTATATCTGTGTAACAAACCACCATGGCACCCATATACCTATGTAACAAACCTGCACATTCTGCACATGTATCCTGAAACTTAAAGCAAAAGAAAAAAAAAATCCTGGCTTTGGAAGTTGTAATTATAATTTCTCTGATATTGCTTAATGTAAAAATTATGAATATCCAGTATGATAGCAACAACAGATCCTACTGTATAACCAACATCTTTCTCACTGAAACTGAATACTGCCACACGCAGGATTCACATAGTATACTTGTCATTTCTAGTTGAATGTTATTGCCACTTCAGATAAAGTTGCCAAGCTTGGCATAAAGAAAAGGGGGAGGTAAAGGGACTGCTAGTAGGACACAACTAGGCAGTGTCCACACCCCAGAGTACCAAGGTAGCTGTGCAAGAAGAATACATTCTATTCTATGATGCCTCACGCTGAACAGAGGGCTAATTGATCACTTACCTCTTGCTGTGTGGTCTGATTCAGACAGCAGCAAAGAGGGACTCAGTGGATGTCAGTCCTGGAGTGGTGATTCTCGTATCCTTCTTGTCTATCATAAGGGAAGAAGTGCTGACCAGCGCCCATGGGAACGGTAATCTTTGTGAACAGCTGTGAAAGGACCACAGCTTAAGAAACTCAAGGGTGGTACTAAAACCAGGAAATGTGGAAGAAGCTTTGTTTCCTGCCATGCTTCAGGTGGGATTTGAACCAGAAAAAAACATTATACTACTAGTTATCGCTACCACATTTATTATACTCTCAGACGGTTTTCATATAACCATTATCTGTCTGGGAGCAGTGGCTCATGCCTGTAATCCTAGCACTTTGGGAGGCCGAGGTGCGCAGATCGCTTGAGTTGAGAAATTCAAAACTAGCCTGGGCCACATAGTGGAACTTGAACTCTACAAAAACTACAGAAATAAAATTAGCCGGGTGTGGGGGCATGTGCCTGTGGTCCTAGCTACTCGGGAAGTTGAGGAATAACTATTTATTATCTTATGAGTTGGCATTGTTAAGGACGAAAACACAGACTGAAGTAAGTTTTCTCACCTCATTTTGTGTTGCATGGCTCAATATCAACTTTAAAATGCTCCAACTGGGGGGAAAAGCTGATTTTCTATCACCACAAGACTACAATTTTGAAATATGTATTTTCTATTTCTTGTGAAAATTGATGCACGCGTGGATATTTGTGCTTTCTTTTAAACATGATTTATACTCTTACTTTGTCTAGTTTTGCAGAGCATCTTCAGTTCTGCCAACCTCTACATTTATAATTTTATTATAATAGTGTGCCATGGCTTGAAAATGTCTTATTGGTCAGTGAAGGTAGACATATGGAGGTTTTTACTTATGCTATAATCAACGAAAATAAGACTTGAATGAATCTTAAGATGAGAAAAGCTATAAAAGATTGAGTCCTGAAATGGAGATCAGAAAATTAATTTTAAACCTTCATTGCCATCTAAATTATTGTAGTCTACTTATGCAACTTCGAGTAACCTGGCTATTTCTCATTTCAAACTAAATAGGAAAGCCTAGATGAGCAGTTCTTGACTACCTTTTCCAGCTATTAAATATGGTGTGTGTGTGTGTGTGTGTGTGTGTGTGTGTATATGTGTATACATATATACACATATATTTTTATGCTAGATAATATTCATGAGCATGAGAGACTTCCATGGGGCAAGGAAATGTATGTAGGAAAGTGAGTAAAAGTGTTAGGATTACACTATTTCCCTGTTTGATATATTTTTCTAGAGCAAACAATTGTGACAGCAATACATTATTGTTAGTAAAGACCTACAACGAATCCTACCACACTTTTATGATTTAGCTCTACTGGAATATCTGGTCTCTCTTATCTTACCCAGTTCTAGAATTCCGTGATTCTGATCTACTTCTTTAATGAAGGTTTGTCCCTAAGCCAAGTATTTAAGCTACTCCTAGAAATTAGTGCCATAGGGAATGACATTTTCTCATTCAACACCCTGTCTGTGTATTTAATGCATCTATCATAAGCAATAATGAAATATTCAGTTGCCAAAATCCAATGAGGGTTTTGGGAGTTTGACAACTAAAGTCTATAAACTGCTTTAAATATTTAAGGAGACATTTATTCTCTTAAATTCATCCCTGTGAGGATAGATGCATTGTTTTATGTGCCATGTTGGTGAAAATTAGACTCTTTAAATAGAATTTTATTAATGTCTTTGGTTCTTATTATTCTACTTGTCAGTTTAAAAAATCTTCTAAGGGAAATACCATTAAACATGTTCTCCCATCCCACTCCCCACTATTTATGTATTAAATTAATAGGAAGTATTCTTAGGTTATGAAGTCACCCTATTGCAAATTCAAGTGTAACCCAACAGCATAAGGTAGATAACATAACTGAGGTTGCTACAACTGAGTGATGACTGCAGGTTTTTAATTTATATTAGGCTATTTAAAGAAATCCCCATTGAAGAATTATGACCCTTTTGTCTCCTTGAAAAACTAGGAGTCATCCATTTATCTGCATCTCCGGTTTAGGCTGTCAACATTTCTCACCTTGATTATTGCAAAGTCCTCTTAACTGGTGTCTCAACACCAGCCTATCACTCACCTAATCTGACATTCACACTGCAGCCAGGGGATTAGACTGAAGACACATATACTTACTCTGCATAAAATGATTGAGTGGCTGCATGGGAAAAACCACCTCACTAGTATCTAACATCCTTCCTGATTTAGGCTTTGCCTAACTCTACAGTCCCAGTGATGTTCACCATTTTCTCTACTACAGCCAGACCGAGTAGAGGAGATCCCACAAATGTATCACATACTTTATTCTGAAGATCTGGGGTGTGGGGGGACCAAATGGCCCTGCAAACTGGTAAAAAGCACGGTCCCTGGACATTCACCATAGGTTTGCATCTTATCCATGCTGCCAACTAACTGTGCTGCTTGGACGCATTTTGAACTCTCTGTGTTACTGTTTCCTCGTCTCTGAAGTGGTAATTAAGCAGTGCCTACTTGATAGTTTATGCATGTAAAGTGGGTAGAATCCTGCCTGGCATATAGTAGGCACTATGTAATTATCGATACTGTTGTTTCCCTTATTCTGGACCACTGTTTGACACTCCCCAGGCTAGTTCTAACTTTTTAAATGGTTTCTTTAGCTCTCATTTTAAATATCATTCACGTGTGCTTGCGCTTGCACGTGCTCTCTCTCGCTTTCTTGTGAGTTCTCTCGCTCGCTCGCTCGCTCTTGCTCTCTCTCTCTTGGCTTCCCATGTAGATTGAGTTTTTTTTTTTTTATGTGTTACCTCTACTTCTCATACTGTATGGCAAGGCACATTTTTACTTAGCTGCCTTTCCTAACAAATTCTAAACTTGTAAACACAGAGATTGCGTTTATCTTGGTCGTTATGATATTGCCACTGCCCAGTACAGTGCCTGAAATGTATGAGATCATAATATTTACGACAAAAAGAATAATTAGTGATTTTATTAATAGCAGATGTTTAACTTATTGAAAAACAATGTGAACATACATAAGCACTCTAAGTGTATGAATATACGGTTGGGTAAACTGCTGGTGAATTTGTGTGCATGTGTGCGTGTGTGTGTATGAGAGTGAAACACATGCAAATAGCAAATGTTTTCAAAATTTCCAAGTTCACCTGATACATGAAGACAGGAGTTAATAAAGATTTTTAAAGTAACGTCTAAACAAGTAAGAAAAATAACTTTGAAGGGCTGAGGCACATTATCGAATTTTTTGGAAACATAAAAAATGCTGTCAGGAAAGTGTCTTGCTGAAAATATGTATTACTTAGCTTTTGTTCTATCTCTGAAGTGTCCCACAAAATTCTTCAGAATTAATCTATTACATTTTTTGAATAAAAATAAAAATTACTTCTGAGAAATTCAGATGCTTATTGGTAATAGTAATATATTCGAGTAGAAAATAAATTTTAAGTTTAGAGGTATAATACACCCTCTCCAAGTTAAAGAAATACTATACCTGTGTGCGCACGCATACATAATAATTCACACACTCACATAAACACACACACCTGGTTTGCTGAGGACTTTCAATCGTTGCAGGTGTGCGTGTGAAAAATGTTACTTTCCTTGTAATCATTCTCCAAATGTGCTGTGTCATCATCTCCTTTCCTGCTAATCAGCGGTATCCAAAATGACATGACCAGATTGTGTAATTTCTTGTCACTTTTTTCTTATCTAACAGCCTCTTTCGTATTCTTATGATTCAGTTCAGTTTATTTTAAAATTGTAATTTCACCCTCTTCGAAAACCCTACTCTGCCCCATCAAAACTGCCCATGACAGCTGTCTGTGGTTTGCACTTCACTCAAACTTTTTTCCTTTTGCTCTCTTAATGAGTGCTACCTCCTCTGGTATTAGGGAAGAAAGGAAGCAGAAGGAAAGTACCAGTGTTGCCACCACGTCCTATAGTTTTTTTCTTAGTAGGCTTGACTTGCTGATCTAGATGATTGTCTTGCATGTGGGCTCACTGTAGATAGGTGCTGGCTATAGTGTGATGATGGAGTTCTGGTAGGCTTCTCCTATGAGCTTTAGCAATCCCCTTAGAGATTTGGCCCCCAGAGGGTGGCTGCAAGGCTTACTTCTCTGATATGCACCCCAAACAGAAGCTGTCCAAGCAAATTCTTACTTACAATGTCATACTCTGCACGAGCAAGAGGATGTGTCCAGAATCACATTTCTATTAGGAACTGAGAATTCCAGAAGAATATTCCTGGACCCTGGCAACTAGATCACCTGCCTCTGTGTCAACTCTCTCCAATTTTCTCTCTCTCTTTCCAGTAGTATCACTGGGAAGTGTTATCAAGCCCTTTGACTTAATAACCTTCATTTTAAAAATTACATTCTAGCTGCTGCTTTTAGACTTGTCCAGTAGTTACCATTCTTTCTTTAGACCTGTTTTCTTGGCTATGGGGAGGAGAAACAATTCCAAAAACAGAAAGGGCAGGTGGAAAGGAAAGAAGATGGAAAAGAAAAAAAGTGGAAGGGAAATTTAAGAGTTCCTCTTGTAGTCTTTCATAGGTACCTCATAGATGGTAGTAGGAGAGGGCTCAGGGAGTTGGTGTTTCATGGTGGGACACATTCTCTTAGGTTAGGCTACTCAGGGAGCCTTACAGAATGGCCATTGACCCCAGCTGGGAGTGGTTCCCTGAATATAGAATGTGACACACTTGAAATTCTTGATCCTCAGCTTATAAGTTTAGCTGCAGTTTTAGAATATTAGAAAAGACCCAACTCAATACCATGCTATGCTTGTAGCTGTAACTCCAGTTACAGATCTCAGAGAGAGGATGGACATTTGACAAGCTTTCGACAGACAGCTGTGTCAAAATTGAAAAACATTAAAGTCTAATTTTATGGGCATCATAGCATTTTGATAGGAAGCACAGACTTATAGCCAGATGGCTAGATGCACTACCAATCTTACAGTCCTTTGTAAAATAAAGATAATAAGAATGATTATACAGAGTCATGGTACGGATTCAATGACTTCTGTAAAGCATCAAGAACAGTGTCTGATATATGGGCATTTCTCCTTTTTTAAGTTCAGGGATATGTGTGCAGGATATGAAGGTTTGTTACATAGGTAAAGTGTGACATGGGGGTTTGTTGCACAGATTCTTTCATCACCCAGGTATTAAGCCTTGTATCCACTAGTTATTTTTGCTCATCCTCTCCCTCCTCCCACCATCCACTCTCCTCTAAGCCCCAGTGTGTGTTGTTCCCCTCTATATGTCCATGTGTTCTCATCATTTATCTCCCACTTATAAGTGAGAACATGCCATATTTGGTTTTCTCTTCCTGTGGTAGTTTGCTAAGGATAAAGGCTTCCAGCTCCACCTGTGTCCCTGCAGAAAAAAAAAAAAGATCTCATCCTTTTTCATAGCTGCATAGCATTCCATGTTGTATATGCATCACATTTTGAAAAAGTCAGTCTATCATTGATGAGCATTTAGGTTGATTCCCTGTCTTTGCTATTGTGAATAGTGCTGCAATGGACATATGCAATCATGTGTTTTTATATTATAATAGAACAATTTATATTCCTTTGGGTATATATCCAATAATGGGCTTGCTGGGTCAAATGGTATTTCTGTCTTTAGGTCTTTGAGGAATCCCCACACTGTTTTCCACAATGGTTGAACTAATTTACACTCACACCAACAGTGTACAAGCATTCCTTTTTCTCCACAACTTTGTCAGCATCTGTTATTTTTTGACTTCTTAAGCATAGCCATTCTAACTGATGTGAGATGGCATCTCATTGTGGTTTTGATTTGCATTTCTCTAATCATCAGTGATATTGAGCATTTTTTTCCTGTGATTGCTGGCTGCATATATGCCTTCTTTTGAGAAGCAATTGTTTAAGCCCTTGGCCCACCTTTTGATGGTTTTTTTTTCTTGTAAACATGTTTAGGTTCCTTATAGATGCTCGATTTTAGACCTTTGTCAGATGAGAAGTTTGCAAAATTTTTCTCCCGTTATGTAGGTTGCCTGTTCACTCTGTTGATAGTTTCTTTTGCTTTGAAGAAGCTCTTTGCTTTAGTTAGATCTATGTGGGCATTTCTTCTGTTTGTTTTTTATTTTGTTGGTTGCTTGTCACTCCCCATGTTTGCCCTGCTCCCAAGATCTACTAACTCTTCACACAGAACCTCTGGTTGCCTTTGTGAAAGCTGCAAATACCAGGATGCAATCACTCTTGTCAGACCCAAACGAATTGCAGCTGAAAAAGCACAAAGTAGAGGAACTCATGCTTACATGTCTGAGACAAGGATTGTCTCGAGGCTTTTCTAAAATAACCCCACAAAAAATCCCTTCTTTAGGACTGCAGCAATTCAGATAAGATGCTTTCTAAAGAACACTTGCCTAATAACACCATCTTCTCCAGTGAATTGACAGCAACCTTAGCTTTGAACCTCTGAAACCAATGAATTCTGTTTCCAAGAAGCTTATATAAACTTCCCCTTTTTGCCCTTGCTCTGAGCTTTCTCTTACCCTTCCATCTTTGGGTAGATCTGTGGCTTGCCATGGATGTGCATACTGGATTATGATCCTTCTTGATTATTCCCAAATAAATTCATTATATTAGGAGGCATTTTTCTGGTTTTGTTTTGTTTTGTTTTGTTTTGTTTTGTTTCAGGCTGACACTAGGGATGCCTCTTCAGTGTCCTTTGCTCAGAGCAAATCACTCTATTGTTCATCCTACTAACTAATTGTTGGAGTAAACATTGCTTCATGTCCTAAATTTCTCTGAATAATTATTGACTAACTAGTGCTAAATGAGTACAATCTAGTAGGATAGTCACTTTAATAGAGAGTAAACCCATAACTCCAAGTTGAAATCTCGCCCATCAGTACTGGGTGAGGGAATGGATTTTTGTAGATTTCTGAGAATTTTTAAATCCCAGCACTAAAGAAGTCATCTGTGGGAGGGGCCCAGTGTTATCCTAAGGTTATAGATAGATTTTGGTAAAAGAGTAAAAAAATGCAGGCTGGGTGCGGTGGCTCACACCTGTAATCCTAGCACTTTGGGAGGCCGAGGAGGGCAGATTGCCTGAGCTCGGCAGTTCGAGACCAGCCTGGGCAACATGGTGAAACCCTGTTTCTGCTAAAATATAAAAGATATTAGCTGGGCATGGTGGTGGGCACCTGTAATCCCAGCCACTTGGGAGGCTGAGGTAGGAGAGTTGCTTTAACCTGGGAGGTGGAGGTTGCAGTGAGCTGAGATTGTGCCCCACTGCCCTCCAGCCTGTCGACAGAGCAAAACTCTGTCTCAAATAAAAAATTAAAATAGAAACAGATAAATCTAAATGGAAATTCTTTAAAATTCAAGTGTTTTATATTAATGGGAGGAAAACGAGAGAAGGCACATAGCCCCTGCAGTTGTTATATGGGTACTAAATTGTGACTCTGTCAACAAGTAGTTGTGTTACCTTAGTATATCATTTCATTTCCTTGCAAAAAGGAAACAATTGTATCTGACTTGTTACTCTCTAGAGCTGTGTAATATTAGATAATATGTGAGAAAATACTTTGAAAAATACAAAATTCTCTATAGATATTATGATTTTCACTACCATCATCTCAGAACTCTGAGAGTGTTTGTAGATGCCACTCTTGTCTCATTTCTGCCTTCCAGCGATGTTGTAATTTTCGAATGGGATAATATGTAAAACTATGAAGTGTCCAACATGTAATAAATAGTTAATTATTACTTGCTATTCATATTGTGATTTATAATTATTGATTTTATTACATAATTTTCATGCTAGACCATGAGTTCTTATTACTCTGTTTTACTCAGCCCTGCACCACTGGTGCTCAGAATATCTTAAAGATTTAATATATGATTGTTGAATTAATTGGCTAGTTATTGTTAATTACATCAATACCATAGACTACAACATAAAAACGAAAACATTAAGTATCACAGTGGAGCAATAGAGAAGGTAAAAATTCAGAAGCCACCTGGTGATAAAAAGCTAAAACTAACACAGAAATAAATAGACTACATGCTTTTTGTCACATTATGGGATTTTTCCAAGAAATACATTTCTTTCTCATAGGCCCCTCACCAGGCCTCTGCAGTCACTGCATGGTGTTCTGGCACATGTGAAAAGCCTGCTGCAATAAAATTTCAAGGGCTTCTGCCTATAAAATTTTATATACTGCAGACTTTGAATCTGCATTACTTTGCAGAAACAATGGATTTTCGTTTCATAATTTGGTAGTCGTTAAGAAAAAAGAACTTAAGAAAAACATATGTAACAAACCTGCACGTTGTGCCCATATACCCTAGAACTTAAAGTATAATTAAAAAAAAATTAGTAAGTTCTTTAACTTGCCACTGTGGAAAAATAAATCTATACAACAAAGTATGAAACACAAATCATTACAAAGGAAAATTTATTACTGAAATAAAAGTGTGATAAATTAAGGAATTCTGCAGTATATAAAATCTTAAGGCCCTCGGATCTTCTTGTATGCTAATCACACTGCTTAAAGCTTTCCCCTAACATGCAAGGGTGTTGCTAGGTTATTAAAATATGTATATGACATGTTTGACTACACTTTTAGAAACTCAAACTCATTATCAAGCTAAAAATGTTGTTATATTTCTATCTCCTACTCAATAACTATTTTTAAAATAAAAACGTTCTAAATCTCAGCAAAATAAGATTTTTGTGAGATAAAAGTATGTTTTCTGATGTTACACAACAATAATTGATACTAATCCACCAGAAGTACTAGGCAAAAATTTGCTTATTGAATTCCAAAATGAATTATGTTTTATTGGCCGTCGCTCAGACAGGAGAAAATAATGTATCTTGTTTTCTCTAATTATCTTCTCTGTTTAACTTATCTCAGAGACCTAAAAGCTACCAATGGTGAATGCCTTTACATGTTCATGGGAGCTGTTTTTATTATAGCCATCTGAGATAATGTTTGTCCTTGTCCTTCTGATCCAAAGGACAAGAATGTAACTAACAATGGAACATTTTCTACCACATGAGCAGTTTGAGGATGTTGATTTCTGAACCAGCCGGTCAAGTTTACAGCATTTATCTCTTAGTTAATACATGACCTTGATATTTTGGGGCACATATGGCAACATGCAGTCTCATGCTGATCTAGTTACTTTTGCAATAAGAATAACTTAACTGTGTTTTTGTCTTCTCACTCTGAAGCTATTATTCACTAGTTCCACTAAACAAAAAGATTTCAAAGTCCACATTAAAAATCTAGATTACATTTCTTAAAAATAGGTTTTCCTCGTTGTTCAAAACTGTTTATTTTATTCTACATCCTTCTTTTTCCAGAAATGGGATGGGTTGGTGATTACAGTATAAATACGTGTATGTACCTATGTGTAAACATTTTCGTACTGATTTTTATGTGTCTGTTGACTTTTTTCAAAAATCCATTTATCATCAACCTCATGACCTCGCAATTACCAAAAGCTTACTGTTTTCTAAACATACCAAACACCTTTTCATTACCGCTTTTGCCCTTTTTATTGGTAAAACATGGATTCTCCTTGGTACTCTCGAAAAAATCAGATTTCCAACTATTATGCTTCTACTGAAGCACTTTATTTCTGCTTCATACACTCACAGCCCTTTGTCTTTATGATTTTTGATACTTATATGTTTTTATTTCTATTATTTGGGTACATTTGACTCTCACAAAATAAGTACAAATTATGTAAATAATTGTTGAATAAGTTATATCACTACACACACACATTATAAAAGTATTTTAAAGTGGTTCCCTCAATATTCAGCGAATTTCTGAATATTGCTTTTCTACAAAAGAACTTAACTACCTGGTTAAGTAGCAAGTAAGTTTTTTATAAAAGAAAAGAGAAGTTAAAACATAAGCTAAAACCACTAGGCAAAAAATGTTACAAAGAAGGATTATATACTCTAATATATATATATGATTCAAATATATGGCTACACAAAACAATCATTGCAACATATGTTTAAAAAATACTTATTCCTGGATGATGGACACATGAATCTAAATCTCTCCACTAATTATTTTCCCCAGACATCCAGGAAGGAATGCGAACGGGAAACATATGTAATCAAGAAAGTCAGCACTTATACGAGAAAGAAAATGCCATGAATTTCAAATTAACTCTAAACAGAAAATTACACACAAAATCACATCAGTGCTTTGACCAGAGCTCCAATGGCCACTGCAAAACCTGTGAGTGTGGGAGGGAAGGGAAAGAGAATCCATGAAAAATGGGAGAGGATAGTGAAAAGTTTAGAGTATAGAGAAAGTTATCTGTAAAAGGATAAAGTCCTTTTAGAAAGAGGTAAATTAATGCACAGAGTTCTGTGGCATGGTGGCACAGCGCCAACTACAGTAAAGAAATAAATTACTAGGTGTCCACATGAGAAGAATACAAATAAAATGTTAAAGTAATTAAAGGCATATAAACAACCAAGAGAAATTAAGATATATAACCTTTTTTTGTATTCCATTCCAACCACTGTCTCTTTGACCACATTTTTTATTGTATCTGCTATTCACTCTCTCTCTCTCTATATATATATATAAAATTCCATAAATATACATATTTATTTATATATTTCTTTTAAATATATATATAAAATATATGCATTTTATATATACTTATATATGTCTTCTATATATAGGAAATACATATACACACATATATAGGAAATATATATATGTATATACTTATAGGAAATATATATAAGTACATATAACCTCTATATAGGGAATATATATAAATATTTTATATATAGGGAATATATATATATATAAAGAGATTATATGTACATAGTAAGAATATATGTTCCTTAAAAAGGGTGAAATTAAAACTAGAGACAAGCCTCATTTTATCGCACTCTGCTTTATTATACTGTGGAGATACCTTGTGCTTTACAAATTGAAGGTTGTGATAACCCTGCCACAAACAAGCTTACCAGTACCATTTTCAAACAGCATGTGTTCACTCTACCTTTATATCACATTTTGGTAATTCTCACAATATTCCAAACTTTATTATTAATATTATGTCTCTTAAGGAGATCTTTGATCAGGGATCTTTGATGTTACTATTGTAATTTTTTTGAGTTGCCACAGACTGCACCCATATAAGACTGTAAAAATTGCTGAACACTGCATGTGTTCTGACTGCTCCACTGCAGGCCACTTTTTCCTGTCCCTCTCCCTGTCCTTGGCCTTCCTTATTCCCTAAGAGACAACACTATTGAAATTAGGTCAGTTAAGAACCCTACCGTGGCCTCTAAGTGTTCAAATTGAAAGAAACAGTTACACTTCTCTCACATTAAATCAAAAGCTAGAAATGATTACACTTAGGCGGGCATGGCGAAAGCCAAGATAACCTGAAAGCTAGGCCTCTTGCATCAAACCTTAGCCAGGCTGTGAGTGCAAAGGAAATGCTTTTGAGGAAAATTAAAAGTGCTACTCCAGTGAACATACAAATAATAAGAAAGTGAAACAGCTGCATTCCTGATGTAGAGACAGTTTGAGTGGTCTGGAGAGAAGATGAAACCAGCTACGACATTCCCTTAAGCTAAAGCTTAATCCTAATTCTCTTCAATTCTTTGAATCCTGAGAGAGATGAGGAAGATGAAGCTTAGTACCTAGCAAAAGTTGATTCATAAGGTTTAAAGAAAAAAGCCATCTTCAAAACACAAAAATGAAAGATGAAGCAGAAAGTGCTGATGTAGAAACTGTAGCAAGTTATCTGGGACATCTATCTAAGATCATGGACAAAACTATCTGAAAAAACAAATTTTCAATATAGATGAAACAGCCTTTTACTAGAAGAAGATGCCATCTGGGACTTTAATAGCTAGAGAGGAGAAATCGATGCCTGGCTTCAAAGCTTCAAGGCCCAGGTTGACTTTCAACCTGTATTGTTAAGTTGTAATGCACCTGATGATTGTAAATTGAAGCCAGTGCTCATATACCATTCCAAAATCCTGGACCTCTTAAAAGTTAGGCTAAATCTATTCTTCCTCTGCTCTGTAAATGAAATTACAAAGTGTGGATGACAGCACATCTGTTTATAGCATGGTTTACTGAATATTTTAAGCCCACTGTCGAGATTTAATGCTCAGAAAAAAAGACTCATTTCAAAACATGACGGCTCATTGACAGCATCCCTGGTTACCCAAAGGCTCTGATGGAGATGCACAAGGTGATGAATTCTATTTTCATGCCTATTACACAACATCCATTCCATGAATCTTGAATGTTCTTAATGGCATCTAGAGTGGTGAATCCTTATCAGAAGGTTTTTACCTTACTTTGCCCAGGAATATTAGAAGAATCACCGGCTGTAGCTGTATGGCAGCTATAGTCTTATGCAACATATTTCTTAATAAAACTTCAAAATCAAAATTACTCCTTGATCCATAGCCTGTGATTCTGCTGATGTTCTTATGCAAAGTAAATTAAAAACCTTTTGATAAGGATTCACCACTCTAGATGCCATTAAGAACATTCAAGATTCATGGAAGGAGGTCAAAATAGCAACATTAACAAGAGTTTAGAAGTTGATTTCAATCATTATGAGTGACTTCAGTGGAAGAAGTAACTGAAGATGTAAAAATATCAAGAACTAGAATTAGAAGTGGAGTCTGAGGATGTGACTGAATTGCTACAATCTCATGATAAAACTTGAACGGATGAAGAGTTGCTTATTATTGGTGAGAAAGAATGCAGTTCCTTGAAATGGAATCTACTCCTGGTGAAGATGCTGTGAACATGGATGAAACCACTACAAAGTCTTTATAATATTATATAAATTTAGTTAATAAAGCAGTGGTAGTGTTTGAAAGATTGATTCCAATTCTGAAAGATGCCTTACAGTGAGTAAAATGCTATCAAACAGCATAGCATTCTACACTACTAAGAATTTTTTTGTGAAAGGAAGAGACAAACATGTCGCAAACTTCACTGTTGTCTTATTCTGAGAAATTGCCGCAGCCACTGCGTTGTTCAGCAACCGTGAACCTGATCAGTCAGTAGCTGTCCACATCGAGGCAAGGCCCACCAGCAGCAAAAGATGACCATTTGTGGAAGGCTTAGATGATAGCATTTTTTAACAATGAAGTATTTTTTAATTAAGGTATTTACATTTTTTAGATGAATGCTACTGTATGCTTAGTGGACTAAAGTAAAGTGTAAACATGAATTTTATAAGCACTGGATGCCAAAAAATTTTTGTGGCTGTATTGCAATATACACTTCATTGCAGTTGTCTAGAACTAAACCCACAATAATTCCCAGGTACACCTATAATTATGTTCATTTATAATTTAATAAAGCTTTCTAGAAATGATCCCTTAGATCTATATATTGAAAAACTACACTTCTGTAGTTTACCTGAAACGATTAACTCCAAAACATATCTTAGTGAAACTATTAAATTTTAAAGATAATTTAAAAATATCCTTAGAATCCTCTAGGAAAAGAGATTAAATTATAACAGTGAGAAAATTAGACTGGCTGTAGACTTCTCAGGAATAACTCACAAAGCAAGGAGTTAATGGAGTGGAATTTCAGGAAACACAAAAAAGGGTAAGCCAAGCATTTTAGGTCTAGGCAAAAAATTTTCTTCAAGAATCAAGTGTACAGAAAAAGAATATGCAAGAACCAAGGAACATTATATACACAAATTGTTTATGAATAATCTATCATATAATGAGTTTCATCTAAATAAAATGTCCTGGTGAAACTTCAGTAAGGGAATTGATGATTAGCATTAATATATTTATTTCTTGAAATATGACTTAAAAGGGGTGAGGATATGAGTGGGTGAACAATATGTAAGTTTTATACATTCTGGCAAAATAAAGTATTCAAGTGTAAAATGAAAAGAGAAGAGAGATAAGTGAAAATAGAAAGATATTAATTGTGGGGTACGTCATAGGTGAGTCAAAGAATACTACTAAAAATGAAAGCCAGTTAGTACAATGCTAAAAATATGAGGCAGGGGTGGGAGGAAGCAGCTTTAGGGAAATGGGGACTATATAAACTATAAATACAAAAATAATCCATAGAACAAACTTGTAAACTTTTCTAAATACCAAAGTAATTTTTTAAAAGGAGACAATACATTGAGAAACACAGTAAACAAAATATAATTCAAACAGAAAGTATACCAAAAAATGAAAGCACCAAACCCAAACACATCCGTTCTGTGTAATAGGTTGAACTCACCTATTACAATAAAAAGATTTTAAAATTGGCACATAAAACCAAAATCTATGTTGTATGCCAGACCCATCTAAAATACAGTCATTCCAAAAAGTTAAATGAATGGAAAAAACACATCAGTCAAATGGAAACAATAAGACAACAAACCTAATATGAGAGGAAGTAGAATTTAGGCCAAAAGCATTAGATGAGACAAACGGTGTTGTTTCATGTTGCTCATAGCCACAGTTCATAAGTTACATAAAACATTACTGATATCTGTGCACTAAAAAATACAACCACACACATACAGAACATAAACTTCAGTTGGTGCAGGGAAATATAAAGACAAAATAACACTAACAATAGTGTTGCCTTTTATTCTGTTGAATTGTCTTATTGATCTGGAAGTATTTGTTATTTATTAACATATAATTCCATGGTTGATTTCATGTATTGTAAATATTATCTATATGACTACATGACTAGTATTTTTACTTCTACAGTAGTATATTTTGATAATAAAAGTTTCTAATTTTATTGAATCCAATTTTTTTATTGTTAGTACTTCTCTATCATGTTTCAGAAATCTCCCTTCACCGCAGCTCATAAAGATATTGCCCTGTGTTATTTTATGGAAACTTTCCTGTTCCACCTTGCACTTTTTCATCTAGTCTCCACCTCATATCATGTATCATTTGAGGTAGGAATTAAGTTTTATGTTTTCCATATGGATATGCAACTAATCCAGTACTATTTCTTGAAAAGATTGTCTTTTCCTCACCAAGTTTCATTGCCTTCTTTGTCACATTTTAAGTGCACATATATGCAAAAATAAATTTATAGATTTTTAATTTTGTTCCATTGGTTTATTTGTATATCGTTGTGCCAATATCATACTGCCTTGGTTATTGTGCCTTTATAATAAATCTTTTTACTTGGTTGGCCACTTTCCAAAATGTTCTTCTTCAAAATCATTTTGCCTGATCTGGGTAATTTGCATTTTCATAAAAATTGTAAAAGTTTGCCAGTTTTCACACACAAAAAGAATGAGGTTTGTTTGGGAGTACATTGAGTCTATATATGAATTTGGAAGATAACTGTTTTAAAATAATGAGTCTCCTAGTATATAGTGTATTTCTCTTTTACATTATTTGTCTTACTGTAGTCAGTAATGCTTTCTTAAAAATCTATTTCTAATTGGAAATTTTAAAAATTATATATTTATGGTGTACGTGATGTTTTGATACATGTTTATACACACACTGTGGAATGGCTACACCAACCTAATTAACATATGTAGTATCTCACATACTATTTTTTTGGTGACGGAAACAATACTTAAATTGTACTCTTCTAGCAAATTTCAAATATACAGTATATTAACTGTAGTCATCATGAGGTATAATACATATCTTGACCTTAACTTCTCATAAGTGAAATTTTGTTTCCTCTACTCAACATATTCCCATGCCCCAACCCCCGTCTGGTAACCACACTTTCACTCCCTGTTTCTATGAGTTTGACTTCTTTAGATTCTGCATGTAAATGAGATCATGTGGTATTTCACCTACTATGCCTGTGAGTCAATAATGCTTTATAGTTTTCTATCGAAAAGTCTAGCACATCTTCTGTGAAACCTTTTTCTAGGTATTCAGTGATTTTCACTATACCATATATACTTTTTAAAACTCATTTTTGTTTTATTTCTGGAATGTAGATATAAAATAATATGGGTTATTGAATACATGTATTATGATAATACTAAGTCCACTTAACAACTGTAATTATGTAATTGTACAAAGTTAAAATCCTTCTCTTCCAATCTTACTTTGTGTGCATTCATTCATTCATTCATTCATGCCTTATTGCACTGGCTAGAACTGCCATTATAATATTGCATAAAAATGCTGATAGCAGATACGCTTTTCCTCTTTCTGAATCTTTGTTAATGTTAGTTCTTGGTTTCTTTTCACACACCTTTTATAAGATTGATAAAACTTTTACATTCCCAGATTCCTAAGTTTTGCATCATGGATAGGTGCTAAATATCTATTGTTTTTGTTAGCTTAGTGTTTTATTCTAGAAATTTGTCCATTTCAAATAATTTTCGTATGTCTTGTCATAAAACTATTAATATCCTTTCCTGTTATTTCATATCTGAGGGATCTATATTGATGATTCTATTTTGGTTCTTGATATGAATTTATATCTTCTCTTTCTCTTTTTTTCCATTGGTGATTCTTCAAAAATTTTAGTAATTGTTGGAAAAAACAAATTTTTGCTTTATTGATCTCTTTTCTATGTAATTGATTTCAATAGTATTAATGTCTGCTCTTATTTTTTATTTTTTAGTTTATTATTTTTGTAATTTAAACATGTTTTTGAGAGTTGATTTTTAATCTTTTTTCTAAGGTATGTATTTAAACATAAATTTTCTTTGAAGTATAGTTTAGCTGCATCTAACAAATTTTTCTCACATTTTTGTCATAATTTCAATTTTTTTCCATTTTCATTATAATTTTTTCTTTAACATGTGGGTACTTAGAAATACATTGTCAAATTTCAAGTGATTACTTTCTATGTTTTTTCTATTGCTTTAAGGCTTTGATTTACTCTGTTTAGAGAGATACATTGTTTTAATCTATTGTTATCGAGAATATGGAAAATTTTAGTAAATAATGTGTTTACTATTACAATTAGAAAATAATGTGTACCATAGTTGCTGAGTACAGTCTTTCATATATGTCACTTAGGTCATATTGTTGAAATATGCTGTTTAAATCTTCCCTTCTGATTTTCTTTCTATTTGCTTCTTCCATTAAGAGAGAAAGTAAAAAATATTCCACTGTTGTTGTCAATTTATCTATTATTTTTGTCAATTTCAGCTTTATATATTCTGAGATTACATAATTTGATAAACACTAATTTAAAATTATTTTATCTTCTTGTTTAACAGTTGTCTAATAAAAGGTCTCTCTATTTCTGGTAATCTTGCTTACTTGAAGTCTTGTCTGATAGCATAGATAAGCAAGCTTTCTTTGGTCAGTGTTCACATGGTGAATAATTTCATCTTTGATTTTCAAGCTGTGTTATATTTTGATGCCTCTCTTGTGTGTTGTTTTCATTTTCAAGGCTGACGGTCCTTGCATTTTAATATATTTTCTGTTTAATTTCCTACTGAAATACTTGGATTCAAATCATCTACATTTTATGTTTTACTATTTGTATCTTGTATACTCCTTTTTTCCTTCTTCATGTAAATTATTTTGGATTGAAGTTCTTTTTAAATAATAATTACCTCTATTCCCACTTCATAGTTTATTAGTCATATATGCCTTTACTATTCTTTTACAGATAACCCTGAAGAGCTTAAAATATACATCCTTGACTCTTTGAAAGAACAAAAAGAATTTGTACAGTGACCATATTTCAAACAAATGTTGGAACACTTTTCCATTCATTCCACCTGTGTATATATATATATGTGCCATTGTTTCCATGTATTTTATTATGTATATATCTTTTAATCTGCAAATGGCTTTGTTAACATGGTTTTATACAGTCATTACTTGAATAGATTGACCCACCAATTTATCCACTGCTCTCTATTCCTTCCTGCGTCTCTAATGCTTATTTAGAGTCATTTTTATTCTGTTGACAGAAATTTCTTTAGGATTTTTAATGGAACTGCTGTTGATGAATCTTCTTTTTTTTGTCTAAAATAAGTTTATTTTTATTTTGAATTTTTTTCTGTGGTTAGGTAGAGAATTTCGGTTTCTTTTTGCTTCCTTTTATTTTCTATATTAGTTCTTTGATACAGTTCTTGAATTTGCTCTTTTAAGTTAGTAGCAAACAAACATCATTTTTAAAACAACCATATAACTTTTTAATTAGAATATTTAATTATGTTTTCCTAACCCACAAATGCTTTTGCAATGCCGTTATTTAAAGTTTTTTTTCCGGAACTTTTATCTCTCACATATGCTTTCACTGTAATGCATATAAGCTTAGAGAGATTATTGTGATTTTCTTGGCTTTTTGGGTTTCGGGTGTATATTTTCGGGGACTTTAGGTGTCAACAGACCTAAAAGCAAAGAGAAAGTGTGGGCTGTCTTCCCACTGTGGCCAGTAATGGAGAGCTTGTGGACTGCTGGTCTCCTTCTAGAATCATACAGTTTCCCATTTCCAAAAACTAGAGGACACAGCTCATTGGTTCAGAGCCTTCTTGGTATCCTGAGATGTGAACCTTTATTTTGCCAGCCAAATTCTTCCCAGGATCCTCACTCCACAGCTCAAATGCTGGCCTGCTTTTTCTCTGCCCAAAGGTGAACAACTTTCTCACCAATTATTTCTGCTCAGACTCTCACAGAAACTGAGTTCTCAGAAACCACTTAACTCAGGAGATGTAGATATACTGACACTGTCAGTCTACGTGAAGAGCTCTATTCAGGCTCTAGAATCCTCATAGTTATTTATACAAGAAGAACTTGAAGGTTAATGTACTTACGTATCTACCATTCAAATTCTTCAATTGTTGTTTTGTACACTGTTATTTAGTTGGGTATTATAACAGAAACGAAAGAAAAGAATGTACTGACCTGCCCAGTTGGCAAATTGCACCCAAGAACCCCTCAACCCACAGAGACGCTTAATATTATATTAACAAGGTCAATATAATACCTCTCAGTGTACTGGAACTGTAATTTACTAAGTAATTAGATGTCTGACAATACAATATTCTGGGTAAACATAAAGTAGTTTAGTAGCCACTGAATTTGCCTCATTGTATGTAAAATCTTCTTAAAAATGTTTTGAAGTAATTTTCTAGATAGTTAATTTGCTACTTACCCAACTTTAACTGTCCCAGTTCTTATCTTACAGTGCCTCTCAAAGGTCAAGGCCAGAAGGCACACATTGAATTTTCAAAATGCTCACTTAGCCATACTTTATGGGCTGTAGCTCATTCTAATTGCTCAAGTTACATAGTAGTTACTTCATGGTATTCTTCCTTAGGCTTTATGAAAATGAATACTACATTTAGGTGGCTCAGTGATAATTGATACCACTAGAGACACAGATTATAGGGAACATAAGATTCTGCTGCCTTTATGTACCTGTACATTTCTCCTAAAATATATTCAGTTACTTGCAAAAGTCTTGGTAATATGTCTTGATGTAGCATATTGTATTTCAACAAAAGTGAAAGTAGATTCAGGTGCTGGTTCTGTCCTGTGACATGATAGGAATCAAATTATATTCCCAGTCTTTTTTTGCATCAATTCTCATGCCTATATTTAATATTTAGAAGCATATGCTTGGTCAGCAGCATTCTGAACTACAGCTTTGAATAATCCTCTGATTAGTTATTTTCCAGATTTCCAGGAGCTGTAAGATGGATTTAAGTAATATGTTGATTGGTTAGTAAACTACTTGTTTTATAAATCAGCAGTGGATTCCCTTTGCGATATATTCACCCTGGTTATTTATTTCTTACTTGAAGAATCTACAAATAACGCAGATGAGTTAAAGGAAACAGAGTAGTCATATAGTAAATCAGCAAAACAAAAAATCTGAAATAAATGTATTTAGTTTTAATAAATGCAGACAGCATCTTGCTATGTTGCCCAGGCCGGTCTTGAACTCTTAGCCTTAAGTGAGTTTCCCATCTCGGTCTCCCAAAGTGCTGGGATTACAGGTGTGAAGCCATCATGCCCAGCCAAGAAATTTATTTAGAAGACAAACAAACAAAAAAACACACTTCAGGGACTACTTGAAGTCAGCCAAAGAACACAAAGTTATTTTGAACATGAATTATTTACAAAGTCTTACAACAGGTGAGGTTGGGATAAGTAAATTGGTGTAATCCTCCTTTCAAGGAGTTTAATGCTAAGTAAGGAGTCAATCGTGTAAACTACTCTATGTGACAGGTAGAAAGATGGAAATTTTTTTTTCCACAGTGTTTTTTAACTTTTTATTATTATTTTGTCTTCATCTTTTAAGTCCAGAAATACATTTCCAGGATGTGCGGTTTTGTTACATAGGTAAACATGTGTCATGGTGCTACACAGTCATCCCATCACCGAGGTATTAATCCCAGCATTCATTAGCTATTCTTCTTGATGCTCTCCCTTCTCCCCGCCACCCTCTGACAGGCCCCAGTGTGTGTTTTCCCTCTCTACACGTTAATGTATTCTCATGATTTAGCATTCACTTATAGGTGAGAACATGCAGTATTTGGTTTACTGTTCCTGGGTTAGTTTGCTAAGGATAATTGCCTACATTTCAATCCATGTCCCCGCAAACAACATGATCTCATTCCTTTTTATGGCTGTAGAGTATTCCATGGTATATATGTACCATATTTTCTTTATCCTGTCTGTCATTGATGGGCATTTAGGTTATTTCACGTCTTTTCTATTGTGAATAGTGCTCTAATGAATACACACATGCATGCATCTTTATAATAGTACTATTTGTATTACTTTTGGAATATACCCAGTAGTGGGATTGCTGGATCAAATGGTATTTCTGCTTCTAGGTTTCTGAGAAATCGCCACACTGTCTTCCACAATGGGTTGAACTAATTTACACTCCTGCCAACAAGGTAAAAGCATTCCTGAGGGCCGGGCGTGGTGGCTCACGCCTGTAATCCCAGCATTTAGGGAGGCCAAGGCGGGCAGATCACAAGGTCAGGAGATCGAGACCATCCTGGCTAACACAGTGAAACCCCGTCTCTACTAAAAATACAAAAAATTAGCTGGGCGTGGTGGTGGGCGCCTGTAGTCCCAGCTGCTTGGGAGGCTGAGGCAGGAGAATAGCGTGAACCCGGGAGGTGGAGCTTGCAGTGAGCCGAGGTCGCGCCACTGCACTCTACCCTGGGCGACAGAGTGAGACTCCTCAAAAAAGAAAAAAAAAAAAAAAAAAAAAAGGCATTCCTTTCTCTCCACAACCTCAGCAGCATCTGTTACTTTTTTTTGACATTTTAATAATCACCATTCTAACTGGTGTGAGATGGTATCTCATTGTGGTTTTGATTTGCATTTCTGTAATTATCAGTGTTGTTGGGCTTTTTTTCATATATTTCCTGGCCACATGTATGTCTTGTTTTGAGAGGTGTCTCTTCATGTCCTTTGGCCACTTTTCAATGGGGTTCTTTGCTTTTTCTTGTAGATTTTTTAAGTTCCTTGTAAAGTCTGGATATTACTCCTTTGTCAGATGAACAGATTGCAAAATTTTTCTCCCATTCTGTAGGTTGTTTGATCACTGTGTTTGATAGTTTATTTTGCTGTCCAGAAGATCTTTAGTTTAATTAGATCCCATTTGTCAATTTTTGCTTTTGTTGAGATTGCTTTTGGCATCTTTGTCATGAAATCTTTGCCCATGCCTATGTCCTGAATGATACTGCCTAGTTTTCATCTAGGGTTTTTATAGTTTTGGGTTTTACATCTAAGTCTTTAATTCATCTTGAGTTAATTTTTGTATATGGTGTAAGGAAGGGGTCCAATTTCAATTTTCTGCATATGGCTAGCCAGTTCTCCCAGCACTACTTATTAAGTAGGGAATCCTTTCCCCATTGCTTGTTTTTGCCTGGTTCATCAAAGATCAGATGGTTATTGGTATGTGGCTTTAGTTTTGGGTTCTCTATTCTGTTCCATTGGTCTATGTGCCTGTTCTTTCACCAGTACCATGCTATTTTGGTTACTGTAGTCTTATAGTATAGTTTGAAGTTGGGTAACATGATGCCTCCAGCTTTGTTTTGTTGTTGTTGTTCTTGTTTTGTTTCTTTGTTTGCTTAGGATTGCCATGGCTATCTGGCTATTCGGGCTCTTTCTTGGTTCCTTATAATTTTTAAGATAGTTTTCTCTTTTTCTAATTCTGTGAAGAATGTCCATGGCAGTTTAATGAGAATAGCATTTAATCTCTAAATTGCTTTAGTCAGTTCGGCCATTTTAAAAAAACTGATTCTTCCTATCTATGATCATGGAATGTTTTTCTACTTGTTTGTGTCATCTCTAATTTCTCTGAGCAAGCAGTCATTTGTAGTTCTCCTTGAAGAGGTCCTTCACATCCCTCGTTAGCTGTATTCATAGGTATTTTATTCTTTTATGTCTCTGCCAGGTTTGGATATTAGGATGATGATGGCCTCATAGAACGAGTTAGGGAGGATTCCTTCCTTCTCAATTTTTTTGGAATAGTTTCAGTAGAAATGATAACAACTCTTTTTTGTACATCTGGTACAATTCAGCTCTCAGCCTGTCTGGTCTTGGGATTTTTTTGGTTGGTAGGCAATTTATTACCACCTTAATTTCAGAACTCATTTTGGTCTACTCAGGGATTTAGTTTCTTTCTTGTCCAGTCTTGGGAGGGTGTATGTATCTAGTAATTTATTCTTTTCTTCTAGATTTTCTTGTTACTTACATAAAAGTGTTTATAATAGTCTCTGATGACTTTTGGTATTTCTGTGAGGTCAGTAGTAATATGGCCATTATTGTTTCTGATTGTGTTTATATGAATCTTCTCTTCTTCTTTATTAGTCTAGCTTGCAGTCTATCTTAATTTTTTCAAAAAAAAAACCAGCACCTGGATTTGTTGGTTTTTTTGAAGAGTGTTTATGTCTCTGTCTTCTTTAACTCAGCTCTGATCTTTATTTCTTGTCTTCTGCTAGCTTTGGGGTTTCTTTGCTCTTGGTTCTCTAGTTTGTTTAGTTGTGATGTTAGGTTGTTAACTTGAGATCTTTCTAGCTTTTTAATGTGGGCTTTTATTGCAGTAAATTTCCCTCTTAACACTGTGGTAGCTGTGTCCCAGAGTTTCTGATGCATTGTATCTTTGTTTTTTATTATTTTCAAATAACTTCCTGATTTGTGCCTTAATATTGTTATTTACCCAAAAGTCATTCAGGAGCAGGTTGTTTGATTTTCATGTAGTTGTATAATTTTGAGTGAATTTCTTAATCTTGAGTTCTAATTTGATTGCACTGTGGTCTAAGCAACTGTTTGTTATGATTTCAGTTCTTTTGCATTTTCTGAGGAGTCTTTTACTTCTGAATATGTGAACAGTTTTTTTAGTAAGTGCCATGTGGTGATGAGAAGAATGTATATTCTGTTCTTGGGTGCAGAGTTTGTAGATATCTGTCGGATCCACTTGATCCAGAGCTGAGTTCAGGTCCTGAATAGTTTTGTAAATTTTCTGTCTCGATGATCTGTCTGATATTGGCAGTGGTGTGTTAGTCTCCCACTATTATTGTGTGGGAGTCTAAGTCTCTTTGAAGGTCTCTAATAATTTGCTTTATGAATCTGGGTGCTCCTGTATTGGGTGCATATATATTTAGGATAGTTAGTTCTTGTTGAATTGAACCCTTTACCATTTGTAATGCCCTTCTTTGTCTTTTCTGATCTTTCTTGGTTTAGTGTCTGTATTGTCAGAAACTAGAATTGCAACCCCTGCTTTTTTAGGTTTTCCATTTGCTTGGTAAATTTTCCTCTTTCTCTTTATTTTCGGCCTATGTGTGTCTTTGCATGTGAGATAGGTCTCTTGAAGACAGCATATGAATGGTTCGTGGTTCTTTATCCAACGTGCCACTCTGTGTCTTTTAATTGGGGCATTTAGCCCATTTACATTCAAGGTTATTGTTATGTGTGGATTTGATTCTGTCATCATGATGCTAGCTGGCTAGTTTACAGACTTGTTTATGTAGTTGCTTCATAGTGTCACTGTTCTATGTATTTCAGTGTGTTTTTGTAGTGGCTGGTAATGGTTTTTCTTTTCCGTGTTTAGTGCTTCCTTAGGAGCACTTGTAACACCGGTCTGGTGGTGACAGTTTCCCGCAGCATTTGTGAAAAAGGACTTTATTTCTCCTTCACTTACAAAGCTTGGTTTTGCAAGATATGATATTCAGGGTTGAAATTTCTTTTCTTTAATAATATTGAATATTTGCCCTCAATCTCTTCTGGTTTGTAAGGTTTCCACTGAGAGGTCCACTGTTAATCTGTTGGGCTTCCCTTTTTTCATGACCTGACCTCTTTCTCTCTGGCATCCCTCAATATTTTTTCTTTTATTCCATCAGTGAAATGTTTTTATAGTCAAATAATTTTGCAAAACATTTTTTTCATAATTCACAAAACAAATGCGTATTTTAAGTGTTCCTATAGTAAAGGAGAATCCTTTAATCTGATATGACACCAATTTTGATTGACTATAGTATACCCTAAACTCATTTTTATTCCAAAAAATTTATTGATATCATTAGAATAGTACACATTTGTGGGACACTTAAGTTTGTAATTATAATAGCTGGGAGAAAGGGTTACAGCCAATAAATCCTGATTGTGGAATCAAGACAGCTTCACAGAGTTGGTGATTGGGCGTGGAAGAATGAAAGCAATATTTAAATAGGTTAATCTAAAACAGGAAGTACATATAAAAATTTGAAGAAAAAATTTTCAAGCTGTAAAAATTACATAAGCAAGCAGTTGAAACATTTCTGCAATAAGATGTAAATATGTACTTCTAGCTATTTTTGAAAGTAATGTAGTCTTCAAAGAAAAACATTAAAAACTGAGTACATGTGTGTTTTCAGTACCTGTGTGCACAGCACAGAAAATACAAATATATTTAAGGCTCATTTTTGGCATCAGAGAGGAAATAATAGTCTTTAAATAATATTACTACAATGGAATTATAGCTAAATTATTCCAATTAAAAAATTCCTTTCTGTATGGAGCTTAGAGTTTGTTTTTAAAACAAACAATTATAGAAATAAATGTGAAATTATGATACATAGTACAAAAGAAGTTACAACCTGTGATGATTGTAAGGGTTTTAAAGGAGGAGGTATTTGAATTGAGGGGTTGAAGGATGAGAAGCTGATGAGGTAAAGGTTATGAAATGAGGCATGACAAGCAGAGGGCACACAGGCCCAGTGGACCGTGAAACATGGGGTCTTCAAGGGTGGATAGAGTAATGGACAGTAGAGCTGGGACAATAGAGGATAGTGAGAGACATGGAGTCTCTGCAAACATAATACCCAAATTGAGTAGTTGACAAGAAAAACAAATTTTATTTCTGAAATAGAAATACCAATATGTCAGTGGGATTTTGACAGACGAGATTGTTTCTTTGATTTATAATAATGTGACGTGTATGTTTTTAGAATGGATAAAAATTGACAACATGAAAGTTCAGCTTAACTCAACAAGTATTCATTGAATCAGGTTCCAAAGGTAGGTAAATGAATATGATACATTCCCTATTGATGAAGGAGATAGAAACATAAATATGTGCATGTATCTAAGATGCCTAAAAGGCCTTTTGAGTGAGAGGAAGTCTGAGCTGATACATAATGTATAAACATTCAGATCTTGAATCTGAGATCAGACGGGTGATTCAGATAGAAGGAATTGCATAAACAGACACGTGAGGCTTAAGCAAATAATGTTGCCGAGAACCATAAGTACTTTGATGTTGTTGGAATGTAAAATGTGAGAAAGGAAGAAAAGGCAGAGAAAGCTAGAAAAAAAAAACATGAAATATATCACAATACGGCTCTGAAGCCAATACGGCTCATGAAGCCAAAGACTTAGAGTTCGTGCTATACTTCAGGGCTGTGCAAACTTCAGACAGTGAGCCAAATCTGGCTTATTGCCATTATTTGGTGAGTAGGCATTGGAACTCAGCCAAAATTATTTATTTAATGTTATCTATGGCTGTTCCCACATTTCATTGTCAGAGCTGAGTAGTTGCAACAGAGTGTGTGTAGTACACAAAGGCAAAAATAAGTATCATGTAGCCTTTACAGAAAAAAAGTGCTGACCCTGCTATACATAATATGCCAAGCACAGTCTTCAAGTAAGTGAGTAACAGTTTTAGACTTTTTCAAACTAAAATACGTAGTCACCACTTTTTTATTATTATTTCACTTTAAGTTCTGGGACACATGTGCAGAATATGCAGGTTTGTTACTTAGGTATACACGTGCCATGGTGGTTTGCTGCACCTATCAACCTGTCATCTACATTAGGTATTTCTCCTAATGCTATCCCTCCCCGAGCCCCCCACCCCCTGGCAGTCAGCAGTGTGTGATGTTCCTCTCCCTGTGCCCATATGTTCTCGTTGTTCAACTTCTACTTATATAAGAGTGAGAACATGCGGTGTTTGGTTTTCTGTTCCTGAGGTACCACTTTGTAAGTATCTAATATATGTTAAACACCAGACTAGATGATTTACTCACATGAACTGCGTCTCAAAACCATTCTTCCTGGTAGATATCAAAATTCCCCATTTTACTGATAAATATAGAGATTAAGGAAGGTTAGGTGCCTTTCCAAGGCCCCATAATTTTGACATTTTTGAATCAAATTTAAACTCAGTTCTGTCGAACACAAAATACATTACTTTTTTACAGTCTGGTAGCATATTACAAAAATGAATACTAGAATCAAATGAAGTCTAATTGTGAGGAATTTGTTGCAGAAATCCCACCAATTCATGATCTGTATCTAAATTAGGTAGAAGGGTAATAGAGAGAAATTCCAGAGTTTAGTATGGAAAATAAGTAGATCATCTAGAATGACTTCTTTATTCTTGACAGATTGGGTGACTAAGTCAGGGAAGCAACTTCCCACTTTCTGTTTTGGGTGGTTAGAAGAAAGATATATTCATTTCTAGATACAGGGAATCTAGGACAGCAAGCAGGCCCACAAGCAGGGTAGCATTGATGAGTGATGTTTTGTACAGTGTGTATATTTTCAAATGTCTGAATTAGATCCATGTGAAGATAGACACCAGGGTGTTGCCTGCAAAAGGCTAAAACTCAGAGACATGGGATACAAGTTGGAGATTATTCAGCTTTAGCATAGAGTTAAGAAGTAGCAGAAGCTGACTTTTATACAATTTTAGGAATGAGTATAAAATATTTTATATATCTTATAGAAATCCATTAGATTTAGAAAGAGGCACTGGATTATGGTGCTTAAGAACACTAAGGGCCAGGCACGGTGGCTGACACCTGTAATCCCAGCGCTTTGGGAGGCCTAGGTGAGAGGAGGTTTGAGACCAACCTGGGCAACGTAGGAACATAGACTCCATCTCTACAAAATAAATAAACAAATAAATAAATAGAAAGAAAGCGAAAAAATAAAACTCTGTAAAAGCTGACAACCTGAGTTCAAATCTTACTTCTACTAATTTTCTATAACCTTATGCAAATTACTAGATTTACTTGTGCTTTGGAAACCTCTTCTATAAAATGTCTATTACTAACACTAAAAGCACTTACCTTGTAGGGTTGTTAGGAGGATTAAATGAGTTAATACATACAAAAGTTTTAAAATAATACTTGTATATGGTAAGCACCATATAGATGTTTACCTGTATTTATTAATTTAAAAATATTTTTTACATTTCATATATTTAATTAGGATTTTTCAACATAGTTTTCTCACTACCTCATATACCAATGTTTATTCTAAACTGAAAAGGGATGTATAAGGGTCTATAAAAGAGGGCTGACCTGAATCCAATATTTTCTTTATACCTGTATATCAGCCATAAGCCTGGAGCATTGTGTGAGGTTAAAATGAATGAAGTGCTTTAAAGATATGTTTGCCACAATAGAGCTTCCTTACATGTCTATGAGGAATATTATAACCAAGCATACTCTCACAGAGTTTAAACTCAAATCATGAACATTTAAATTAAGTTTTTCCTTATTTTGCCTATACCCATTTTTATCTTTCATTGTCATTTTTGTTTGACAGAGTATGATGAGATAGAGTATTTTTATTTGGAAAGTCCTCAGCAAGACAAATTAGCCAAAAGCAATAATGGTTCAGATTAAACAGAGTGGAATTGATCTAATCCCCAGGCTCAACTAAGGAACAGTCACTATCTGGGTGTTTGATTTTAGACTATAGATAAGTTGAGATGTTGTAATATTTATGGAGGAATTGGCTATGTCAGTTATGGGATGAAGACTAGTAGTACAAGTACCATCAGTAGTCATTCTTTTTTTTTTTTAACTTTTTACTAAACTAATACAGTTAGATATTTCCACTCTATCATGATTATATTTTTTATGACAGAAAGAAAACAGTTCCATGTTTTTATAAATAGTCTCTGCAGAGATTTCAGATGATGTTATTGGTATCTTGGTTTGGCAGTGTCCGAAAAATTGTGATTGCCTTTAAAGTGTTTGTGCTACTTTTAGTTAAGTAAACCCACACTGTGTAAGACCCAGGCTGGTTCCAAGTAATATCAAGGTTTCTATGCACATAATAGTTTACAAAGAACTTAAGTTTAAAGACTATGGATTAAAAACAAACAACAACAACAACAAAAGTGCTTTACAGAACCAAACAAACCCTCTCTTGATGGGAATGTCAAAAAGGACACATGAGTCAACTGGAAACTCTTAAAGGCCAAAGCTGGGACAATTTGAGCAATCCAAAAAAATAGTATGAATTAATATCCAAAGTATAAAATAAATGTCCTTGAGTCCCTACTGATACAAATAAATAATTGAATAAGTAAATGAGGGAGAAGGGAAAATCTCCTATGCAGAATTTCAAATAAATTATGTAGCTGTTCAACGCTTAAAGAAATACAACATAACTCTTCTGTGTGTTGTACATAGTGACTTTCTTCCCAAGAATAGAGTGTGGAGAAGGATGGGGTTGGGGAGAGAGAAAAAGAGGGGGAGAGAGAGAGAGAGAAACTTTACAGCCTATGTTCAGTGATCAAGGTCATCATCAACAGTGATAAATCATGCTGATACTATGTACGCCTAATATGATGCTTTGAGAATGGCACCTTAACTCCCAAAAACCCAAAATTCATAAAATTAATTATTAAAACATCAGAAAATTTCAAGATACTCTACAGAAAATGTGATTAGTGCTCCAAGAAGCTTTCAAAATCATCAAAAACAATGAGTGGCTGAGAAACTGTCACAGACAAGAGGATCCTAAGGAGATGTGTTGAATAATGTAAAATGGGATCTTGAAAAAAAAGTAACATTAGAGAAAATTAGGGAAATCTGAATAAAGTATGAACTTTAATGAATATTAATCTATCAATATAGATTCACTAAGTTTTACAAATATACCTTAATATAAGGTATCGATAATACTAGAAACCAAGTGTGGGGTGTATGGGAATTGTATGTACTATCTTTTAAATTTTTCTGAAATCTAAACCTATTGTTAAAAAGCTTATAAAACAAACTAAACAGCCAGTCATATGATTTAAAAGCAATCATGGGGACCCTGATTACAATTTAACATTCTCCTTCCTTACTAGCTTAGTATTCATATTAGTCTCTTCAGCTATGCAACTAATTTGTTTTTCCTAAATAGCAAAAAGGAAAATTGAACATTAACCGTTTCGACGACTGTTTTACTGAACGTTTTTCATTATTTGCACAGTTTAGTTTATATGTTAGTGTTTTTTTTTTTAACTTCTGAAATAAGATTTTTTTTTACTACGTATTTCCTATCCCCTTAATTCATTGTTGTAGTAGCCACCAAAATCTCGGAGTTTTCCAAAGTATTTTACATTATTCAGTGTATTTTCTGTTTAACAGAAATACATTATTCAAGTATTACATTACATTATTCAATATTATATTATTCAAATATTTTCTGTTTAACAGAAAAATAAAGATAAGAATATTACTTGTAATTTGATTATTTAAAATGTCTAGAGAAGAGAAGAAAGCTATAAAGGGGAAATACTCACTAAAAACCGTATTCTAAAAATATTCCCAGAGATTTAAAACCCTGGAATCCCTTTGTAATAAATTATATTTATTTTGAGTCCCTAACTGTGTTTTCATGAATATTCACAATGTTATTAGCTTATTTATCTCCTTTTTGGGTCAAATGCATTTACTGACTGTAGTTGCATGCTTATGGTGACAGAGGCAATACTTTAACACTACCTGCAGAGTCGCACATTATATGTTAACACTTCTAAAATATATTTCCTATACCAACTGTTCCAACTTTTGAACACATTGTTTCAGTAATTGCATGGTAGTATTGCCTGACAAACCAATACTCCCATTTTGTTTTAATTTATACAGAAGTGTCTTTACAATTAACTAAATACTTGTTACATTTTCCCACATCATAAAATTAGGGGGAAAATAGAAAAATGAAATTACTGATTCTTGTAATACTATAATCACAATCATGAAAGTATTCTAAAGAGCAAAGCTGTGAATCTTGATTTCTATTAGGTACTGATTAAATAAGTAGTATAGACAGTGTGGGAAGCATAAAAACACAAAAACATAAAAAAAAAAAAAAACTTGATTCTGAGGAGAGTTTCCAAAGAGGGAGCTACTCTTGTGAGCATAAAAATTAAAACTTTTTTTTCCTGAATAAATGCAAAGAGAAGTTCATAGGGACATAACATGGTTAATAAAGGTAGATCATGGTATATCTTTCATGAAGAGAAGGAAGATAACGTTCAATTTTCTTCTCACCAAGATTTGAAAATATGTAGTAAAGCCATTTCTTGTTCATGTCGTGATGATTTTCCTGAACAATTTCTTACAAAAGCAAATCCTTTTAGTATTTCCTAAGCAATGACACTTTAAAATTAACTAAGAAAATTAAATTTGAGGTAAAATTCAAGATACAACATTTGCTACTTATATTTAATGTTTAATTTGTGTTTCTAATGCTTTTAAAATTAACATCTAAAAAACTTTTTAAAAAATCTAAAAGTATATGTCCTAATTTGAGTTTTTATCACTCTTTAATATCTACAGTAAAATAACTTTCTTTATAACACACATATCTCAAATTTCTCTTCAAATATTATGCATTGAGGTATCATGTAAGACTTCCAGATTTTATTATGGATGAAAATGGGATCTACTTGTACTTGAAAAAGTAATGAATAAACAATACTCTGATTTTTTATCTATAAAACTGAATCACTACAAAGGCTAGGGATAAGCCAGTGATGTGCCTAGCGAAGTATTAAGTGTATATAAATCATCTATTGTTAAAATTACTCACTTTCTAAGTGTTTCCACTTTAAGTTCAAGAAAACTAACCATTGTTAGATCATGGGATGCATTTGAAGAGCTTTAAACACCTCACTACCACCTTTAGTGTACACTCTAACCCCATAAAGAGCTCATTATTGTCTTCCTTTTCTCTTATTCCTGTGGCCTTTATTTATAAATCTAGCTACTTTATTTCTGCTAACTTTACATAATAGGTCCCTATTGCTAAGACCTCACAGCATTTCACAATTACTTGATTACACTTAAAAGTTGTGCTTCATTCCACTGAGAGCACTTTGCAAACCCTAACACAGCAGCCTGGCACATATTGGGTAAATGAATGAATATATGAATACATGAATACATGATTATTCCATTTAATACCAATTTGATATTGGCCTCCATGGTTCCACAGGTATCATCATGAAAATGTATAGCACCACTATATCTTGCCAAAAAGAATAAAGTTAATCCAAAAGAGTTGCCAAATTTACCCAGAGAAAAACACTTTTTAATTTCTTCTCTTTAAAACGTTATAACATCATAATGTTCTAATGGAGCAAGTTTTCTTTGGGACTGAATGTTAAATATTATGTTTTGGGAAGCAGAATTAGTAATCTCTTAAAGTAGAGTACTCGGTCATTTCCATCCATGATTCTATGATCACACAACTTGATAGTGAAAATAACTTTGCCAATCCTGAGTGTGAAATGCTACGTTTATGAAATATAAAACGCATTTAGGGCAATTAAATATATCAGCATTTTCTTTACTGAAAACTGATCAATGCAGAATATTTAGGAAATTACATTTAGACAAGGCAAGGCTATGCAGACATACATTACATGATTTTGTTCAATGTCTCCATTTTTATCTCACCTAGCTCTAAAAGGTGGTTAGGCAGATATTAGCAGGTTGACTGAAAAATCAAGTACTTAGTGACCTTGTTTAATTTTTGTTCTTATGCTTCACATTTCAAAAATAATAAAAGCCTTAATTTTGTCATGAAATGCAGCAATGGTGGCCGAGTAACGGTAAAAGAAATACAATGAGAAAGAAGAAATGAGCAGGTGAGATTTATTCTGTATTAAATGGCTACTGTCCTGGTCCTATCTACACAAGGAATAGCAATTTCATGCTATTGTTCATACAATGCATGGAAGCAGACTTTGTCAAAAGGCAGAGAGTGGGGGTGCATGGAGGATAAGGCTTCAATAAGATTTGCTGTAATTCTCCCCTTTGATTACCTCCCCCAAAATGAGTATCAAAATGTTCTACCTTCCATCTTGGCAGAAAGGGAAGAAGACATAGGGCAGGTGGTTTTTGTAACTACTAGCAGCAATGATGACAGGAAAATAAAAGTTTTCATTACTGAGAATGAAGTGAAATATCTATTTAAGGACCATCTTATTTTCTTAAAATATGTCCATTAATTTATACATTCATTTATTGTACAAGCATTTTTAAACACAATACCTATGTGCTGATTCACTGAAGGGCATATGGAAATCAAAAGCAAAGTCTTGTTCTTCTTCTTCAGTAGATACAAATAGAAATCAGCCAAACAACAGATAAAGAATGCAAATGAGCTTCATAAGGAAATAGGGACTAGAGTAAAGTGTAAAGTGGAAGAGATGGAACCTGAGAAATCATCTCAGAAAGCTGAGTTTGGAGAAAAGTCCTAGGAAAAAAGTAGTTATTTTTGAATACTATGAGTAAGAGATTATTGATATAACCATCTATTTTTTCAATAGGTAATAGAATACAAGCTGGTCTTGTAGAATATGAAGAGAAGAGTTCATTAGTTTTGGGATTCTGACTTATTCCCAAATATCCAGATGTTTTTCAAAGTGATATAAATATTAGATATATTTAATGGAACAAAATAAAAATAATTTTATGTATGAAAGTGAAGCATTCTGAATTTGAATTCAGATGATCAAATTGTATATGTGTTATCCTATTCTGTTTAAAAAATGAAGTCATAGTTCCTATATATTTTTAAAATATTATCTCCAATAGAAATAAATAGAAAATGTTTAATTTTCATTTTTATTTTGATCTTTCCTATAATAAACCTGTACTGCTTTCAACTAAGAAAATAATTTTTTAAAACTCTACATTTAGAATTGTTCTCTGACTATCACAAAGTCTGTTAGAGTAACTATGAAGATGATTCATAGATTCTGCTGCCTTTGGCTCTTCTTTCTCTTTGACTTGGCCTTTAACATTGCTTTATTCATATTGAGCTATTTTACTCCTAATTTCTTCATACAGTTATGTCTGATTCTACTGTGAAAAAGCATTCCAAATTGCTTAATACCAATTAATTTGTGACATTAACAAGAGGCCAAGGAACCCAGTCACAGTCCTTATTTATTTACTGCATTTTTGTGAGTTTTTGTTAATCAGTGAGTATATTTAAGTTATATAGTTATTAATAGAGATAACTCTCCTTATTAGACAAAAGCTCACAAAAACTACCTTATCAAGAAGAAGATATTATGCAAATGCAGGTGGAATAAATCTAATTTTCCATTTTTATGCACAAGTTATTTGCAGCCCCAGTTTATTGTAAATGTTGCAGCACCTACCTAACCATATTTTTAAGGTACATATTTCATATGGGTAGCAAGGGGCTAATAATAATGAAAAATTTGGACATATGAAGTATTCTTTTCTGTTACTAGCCTTGTCACCAACCGAACACACAGCCTTGTTTGTAGCTCACTTTCCCATTTTCAACCTATTGGCAATAAAATATCAGGTGTTAAAAAATGAATAAAATGTTGTAAAGTACTTCAGTGGATAATGTTTCATATATTTAATAATGGCAGGCTTATTAGTATCACTAGACATAGGATTAAAATGTAATTATTATCATAATCAGTTTTGTTATAATATTTAGATTCTTTTTCTAATTGAAAACTAGATGCATACTAACTCATTCTCCTGACATTTTGCTGTCTTCAACAATAAATATTTCAAAATTGGATCATATTCACTCCAGCAGCATTTAAGCACTACTTATCAATATTTTTCAGGATACTTACATATATGAAAGCCCATTCTTGTGTCTTTATATCCAAGATGTTTGATGTTAGCATTTGAGTTAATTCAGGAATCCTCCAGAAGATCCATCTGTTTCCTATTCAGTGTTGAAATATTGGTTTGAAAAGCTGTTTACTAAGGATAAAAGTAGGAATCATCTCTCCAGGAAAGAAGAAATACTCTCATTTATTTTTGTTTGTGAGATAGCCTCTAGAAAGGATCTAATTAATGAAGTATATAAGGATGAAGTGTGTTGAAACTTTCTTTCCCTTTTAAAATAAAGATACTTCGATACACTGAGGGAATGTATAAACGTCGCATGAAGATGTATAGGATGTTTTAATAGGACACAGGAAGAATTTTTCTTCTATATAATAAATGAAAATGTCAACTTCAAGCACTAGCTCTATAACTCTTACTTTAAAATCCTTTAAAAATGTTAATGATTGCGTATTTATAATCTTTGAGTTTTGATTTTTAAGTTTTAATTTCCTGAGTGTTTTTTATAAAACCAAATACATATCAAAGGTATTTGGGGTTTTTTTTTTTTTTTTTGCTTGTTTTATGACAGTGTGCTTGCTTTCTAATCAAGATTAAAACAAGCCATACTGATGCAGATTAAATTATCTAGAGGTTGAGTTTTGTTAAGTTTCTTTCACTTCTTACATGGACTGAAGTGATATATATCTTCCTGTCAAATGATCTTTATATCTTGATAATGTTTTCATTGCATAAATGTTTCTATGAATAGTAGTAATATATAATAAAAATACTTGTCATTTCTTCAGTGCTTAGTATCTCCTAAGCACTGAATAAAATTATTTATATGTAATCTTCACAATAGTCTTACGAGGTAAGTGTTACTGTTTCTGTTTTGAAGATGAGGAAATTTGTAAATCCGAAAGTTTAAGAAGTGCACCTAAATTTACACTGCTACCAAGTGGTCAAATCACAATTAAAATTTAGTTCTGTTTGATTACAAAAGCCACAGACATATCTAATGACATGTTCTATTAGTTCAATATGATGCTTATATTGATAAGATTTCAACATATGAAGTTATTGGCCATTGGTTAATTTGATCATTTAACACAGATATATAGCATTTGAGTAACTCTACTGGATCTCATTCAACTATCATTAGATCCAAACAACGTTGAAATTTCGTTGCTAGAAATTATAGTGCATGAGCTATATAAAATGTATGATATATAAGAAATGATTAATGCATAGGATTGTAGGTAGAGTAAGAATGAGAATAAATAATCTGAAACAAGTTGTGATGGATTTATAGGACATTGTAGTGAACTGCTTAAGCACCATAATAAATGAAGGCAATAAATAATTATATGTGTGTATATATATATATGTGTGTGTGTGTATGTGTGTGTGTGTATACATACACCCATATGCATGTATATTAATAAACTCATATGGTTTTCTGGCCCCCAGTGACTGACCCCATTCATAACTCTGAGTTCTATACTGTTTTGTGCAACATTTCCAGAAGAGTCAATATTCCATCCCAGACTGGGAATCCACCAGGTATTCACATAGGAACTTACTAAGTGCCAAGTTAAATCACACAGGAACTTATTAAATGCCACGTTAAATGATTACAAAATTGATATGAATTGGAGGTAAAAATTAAAAGCCATGTTGACTTTTAATTTTTTTCTTTTAATTTAAAAAGTGAGTTTTGTGAATAGACTTAAGTTGTGCACTCTACAACTCAGATTAGTGTGGTTCCTAGATGAAGGTTACAAAAACCAAACAAATTGAGCTATGTTTTGGTCTGCAAGATAAAAATATATATGAAATACTAGAAATGTTTTGTCCTTTTACTATCAAATGTTAATAAAGATTCTAAATGTGTGTAATAAGTTTATTATAATACAAAAAAGAGAACCCGATTTTATCTCAAATACATATTAATCATGAAATGTTTACTACGTACCTACTACATTTAAAATATTAAATACTATCACTATCTTTTATCTATATATGCATTCTATATATCCCTGTAGGTATACACTACTCTCTAGAATTCATTATACTTTTGAAGATGAAATACATCTGTTTTCACAGAGGAAAAATGAGGAGTAAAAAAATAAAAAATGCGAAAGTTATCCCCAAGTGAAGAATTTCCTCTTTGTCATCAGTGACTGAGTCTTTCCCAGAAGATAGCATGTTTATTTTCTTTAAAATGTTTTTATGTTGCCCGGGAATTCTTCGTTATAGAGCATCTGGCATTCCAATAATTATTTCCAAATAACACAGTCATTTGGACTCCGTTAGATTTAGCCTGTGAATCTGCTTTTGGCATTACCTGTGGTTTATTTTGGAAAAAGCTAATAAGTCAACAACAAAAAATTAGCTGTATCTTCCAATATCTTCTGGCTTCATTAACTGCCCACTTTACAGCTGTCACCCAGAAGTGTATACGAATCTCTGTTGAACACATACATATTCTTATTCTGTCCTCTTTTCTAGAAGATTGTGCTTTATTATTGTATTATTTATATAAAACAGTACTCCCTTTATAAGTCCTTCTGATTTACAGAGATTTCTTCAAGGCCTAGTGTTCCTAGAATGTGGTCACTGAATCCAGATATGCTCTAAGAAGAGTTACTGAAATTTCTCAAATTTTACTCATAGTGTTACCTTTCTCCATTACCAGCTGAAGACTCCTGAATTTTTCATTCCCTTTTCCTACAGAAAAGACTCCATGCCTACATGCCCCTGATAAATTCACTGATACAACTACAGAGGTGATTGTGTGTATACTCAAATTCTTACAGTATTGAATATATTTATTCTGTACTTGGTTGGTTATTAGAATCCTGATTCACTTAAGCAAGTATTAGGCCTAATTTTTTTACTTTTGTCAGGTTTGCTTGTTCTAGAGCAACTCATTTTTGTTGATAAACAGCTTACCAAAAAGAAATGCAGTTGTTTATAAAACCATGAGACAGCATATTTAGAGGTTAGAAAGGGGAAGGACTCTTTAGGACCTGGGAAGTGTACTTTAGCAGGAAAACAGAATGCAGAAAGAGGAGCAGGGGCGATGGGTTTGAAAAACAGTTTTTAATTATTTTTGAACAGAGACTGTGGAGCTGGTACTGTGCTAGATGATGAGATTACATAGTCCTGATCCTCAAGTGTCAGGATCCTCACAATCTAATAAGGAATACAGACCAGTGTTATACACTAGAATAACAGAAAACTACCCAACTAGAGCAGAGTGTTGGGATAGCTCAGACAAGCTGAACCATCACCAGGGTGGAGAGAGACGCCATCAAACTTTTCCAAAGAGAAGACTCTTAAAAATATATATTAATCATTTGTTAAATATTTAATAACTGAGCTCTGTTGGCTTATGGGGATTAACATAAAGAGTAATGATAATAGCAAAGTTTATTTTATTACTGTGTGGCTAGTGCTGCTATCAATAAAAGAGGGACTAGATACAGAAGGGGGAACAAATCTGATGAGAGCAGTTGGTTGGGTTTCACAAGTGTGCATAGGTGGAAATGCATCCTACATATTGGGAGATGTTGATAATGAGGCTGCCTGTATTATACAGAACTTTATAAAAGGCACACTTTTAGAACTTAATCTCACATGTAAGCAATTAATTTTATTAAAATATGTTCCCTACTCTATTATATGTATAACAGTCTTCATAGGTGGGTTTAAGTCATTTAAAATATTATCTAATAAGAATTAAAAATTCATAGATGGTAGCTTAATAGCTTTCTTATTCTTTTACTTGGCAGATATATCAGCATTTGGAAACACCATAGGAAACTGCCCATTTAAGACATTAACTAAGTCACTCTCACTATCTCTTTTACAAAATAAGACCAATTCCCTCTCATTAATTAAATCTCTTGATTTAAAATTCCCATTTTCTAAATTTGTATGTGGTGTCGTCAGAAACTATTTTTCTCTCTTGGGTAGAAGTCACTTTTAAACAATATACCTACTAATGATGTATCAACATTCTTACGAGTGAATTCTATCTATCTTTTAATTTTTTTCTTGCCTGTGGAAGACTTCTACACTCTACTTAACTGACCTTTTTAATGACCAAAAGACAGAGGTGTTCTTCCTATCATAATCAAATGTTGATTTATTTGTGTCTGGTCTTTTTTTTTTTTTTAAGCTATAAGGATATGGATTAAGTATGCAGACTCTAGTGTAATCAGAGTAGTTTGAAGTTCACAAAGTGTAATCCTGTGCTATATATCTCAATTAATCTTGCAGACTATGGCTAATCACATTCCCACCAGGCAGGATCACACAACTCACAGAGCCAGGATTATTAAAATCCATATTTCACGTTAATAGCCATGTGGGTGAGATTAGTTTCTAAGTGGTAATGCACCTGCCATAAATTCCTCCTCTCTGTTATCTTCTGAAATACTGCTCTGTCAGAAGATGAAAAGTACATGATGTGCATTCAGAATCAGTTTATGGTCTTTTTTTTTCTATTGGTCAAGTAAAATATATCTTCATCCCTCACTGATTTCAAATGCACTGGAGAAGATAAACACTATTTAATATTCCTCTGTGACATGTCATAAAGGCCAAAGTGTTCAAGTTTCATTACAAATCTTAGTAAGTCTTTTCATTTTAACATATTGTCCTAAACTAACCTAAAAAAATAATAATTAACAAATACACCTTCAAAGAACTATTCCCCATTTGATTATCTAAATTAATTTTCCTTCCAACATTATTGCAAATTAAAAGCTCCTGAATAGCCTACACATTTACTTGTGCATTAATTCGTAAAAAAATGAATTACACTGGAGTGAAGATAATAACAAACTAAAAATCAAAATATCTAGGTCTTAGCCCAGGCTCTGTTGTTAATTGAATAATTTAGAGATAGCCACATAGTCTCATTGTTTTTCACAGGACTTGAGTCAAATTTACATTTGGCTTTGTTGTCTTCAATTTGAAAGCTAATTCTCTAGAAGAAAATGAAGAATGAAACTTAATCTTTATTAACCTGAGTAAGAAATATGCTTATATGAGAGATACCAGAAAACATTTATTCTCCTTGTTAAAATGTTTAGCCTTCCCATATAATCTCTCAGCAATCATACCTGAAATATGCTCTATTATAATATCTAATATAAAATAATATTTTTAAATGTCCCCCTTTTTGTCCAAAATGGGAAACCTATTTTATCATTATTAATAGAATAATAACACACATAAATACTTTAAAAGGTATAAAGCACTTCCATGAGTGCTTTTAAGAGAGGTTTTGAAATGTGTCCTGGATAGGTCTGCAGATATTATTAATATACTTACTTGATCACTAAATTGCTCTGTATCTTTGTTTTAAAAAGTTGAAATATGGACATGAGCGACCTTCAGAGGTCAAACCTTAAAAGCCAGAGAACAACTTGTGACCTAGACCACTATTCTTGATGATGATCTTCCCCTGGCTTGGTATAAAATTCACATTTTTCCTCCTATGGGAAATACAGGGAAAATATTACAGCTATGAAAAATAAATCCTGCTGCAGAATTTAAATTTTCAGACCTTTTAAGAAAATAGATGTTAATGCTTTCTGTTGAGTTGCTATAGTTTCACATTCATATATTAGAGATGCATTAAATAAGTTTACCTGTTTAATAATTTAAATGCTTTAAATACATGCATTTGACGTTTGCATGACAAAGACAAATACATTCATACCACTTTGTAATGTCACAGTCAATCAGTCAACATGAAACTGGAAGATTCAAAGACCAAAGTAAATAAAAATATAAAAGTCGACAGATGCATTAACTTTCCCTTCTGTACATATTGTTTATAATAAGATACTTTCAAAACTCAAATTAGATATATGAAAAAGGCACCATTCTGATCTACTAGTGCCTAAGCATTGCCAAGCAGTCAAATCTAACTAAACGTTCTATCCTCCTCCATTTTTCTTCGATGCCTACTGATGCCTACTTTCTTTTCTCACTGTGGGGTGAATGCATCTACTACTTGCAGCTAAAGGACAAAGAGTCCCAGCCTCCCTTCTGCCAGAGACACCAACATTCTTACACTCAATGGGGCTGAAAATCCTAGAGTCATTTTTGATCATCCTTCTCATTTTCTTTATTCAGAGTTACGAATCCTGTCCAACTTGGCTTATATCCTAAGTTTGTCCATCCTCTCTTTCCCTTATACTAGTCCTGTCCCCTCTACACAGTTTAGAATTTACTGTCAGATTTGATAAGAATCTCCTCACTAATACCTATGTATCCATTCACATTCATCTTCCTTGCTAATCCATTGGTTTTGTTTTCCAAACGCAAAGCTGTTTTTGCCATCTCTTCCTCTTCACATTTTTACTGTTGTCTAAAATTTTCTAAATGACATGCAAATTTCTTATGTAGCTAAGCTCATTAGCACATCATCTTTCTGGCACAAGATTACTACAACATTCTGAGCTACTTTATTTGTTTAAAATGTTCCCTGTGAATTCCTTTCATGCAACTATGATGGCAACTTTGTTCTTAACAAAATGTCTTTGTTTAAATGAACGTAAGATTCAGATCACACACTTTTTTTTCTAAAATATTAATCAACATCTACTGTATGATTGCCACTAAGTTAAAAGAATTGAACAATATTACTAAAATTAGGTTAAATAATGTCAAGATTTTGCACTGAATTGTTCAGTGGAACTTTACATTGAAAGTCTCAGTCTGTTTAAGTCATGTGTCTGAACTCTAGAGAGTGAAATTGTTTAAGAATTACATAAATACCCCATGTGTGCACATGCACGTAATTACATTTGTAAAAATAAAGACACATATGCATATATACATATGTGCATAATTGTATATATAAACCTCACCAGAACAACAGATATATTTCTGGAAAATAGTTTATAAATTTCACATTTCTAAATTGGGTAGTAATTCCATCAAACTAGAACAATTGCAAATTAACAGGTTTTTAATAAGTAAATAATGCCATCTAGTTTATGTTTTGGGTAAATTTTAATAGAAGTTTGAAAAGGATTCATTAAGGTATATAATAAGTTATTTGAGTTTGCATTCATTGGTGTTTTATTAAGGCAAAGATATTGAGGTAATTCAAGCCATTGAGGGTTTTCCCTGAGAAAAGGAATTAGAGGAGAGCCCTTAGGTTTAGAGTTTTAAATTAAAAAAAGATCTAATGAAAGTTCATTGCTGAAAAGTTGATTTTTATTTGGTGTTTGAGTTTATATCAGTGATTAAAGTACATTTGTGATTTCTGCATAAGCTGTGTCTTTACACAGTTCATTCTGCCTGCCTTCCTCTTCCAGAAATGTTTCCTGCCATATTCTGCTTTTATTGTGCTATTAGTATTTTTTTGTTCTAAAAGCAAAGAACGCACCTGCTAGGCAGAGTTGCTAATTTTATCCCTGAACTCACTCATAGATGCCACAAGCACTTCCCAGTCGATACGGTTCCATGTATCAGGCACCTTCTATAGTCCCATTCTAGGGTCACCGCTGTTGTTGTATTTATCATCACTGCCCAGCATCTTTACCCTGCGTCAAGAATCCTATGCACTGCACGTTCCTCCATAGAACCTTGCCCCATTCATTCCTCTTGTCATAACACTCCAGGATATAAGTGAATTCAGACTTTCTACAAACCCTTTTGTTCTAAATAATCTCATAAAACTACTACAGCCATACTGTTGTAGCATTAAGTGAGTTAAGGGTGTGTGTCTGTTGTTGTTGTCGTTCCTGTTGTTGCATCTGAATCTGTTGGAAACAAAGGGAGGATGGTAAGACTGAATAGTTCATGCAAGGGGCATGGCCCCTACTGCAGAGTTCCTGCTCTAGATTGTGTGTGTGTGTGTGTGCATGTGTGTGTGTGTGTGTGTGTGTGTGTGTGTGTGTATGTATGTATGTATGTTTGAGTAATAAAGGTCCACATCCCAAATCTGACATTTTTTTTTAGATACGCAATCTCACATGTTGGGGAGTAAAAAAATGACTACACAGTTCAATATTAAAGGACTATTAATGCCTCCAAATTGGTGAGATATTCTGCACATTTGAAAGGGAATAGGGATGTTCATCAAAGGATGAGAGAAAAGGCAGAGATTAATAATTTTGAATAGTTATAAAATCCTTTAGAAGTAAATTTTATGTATCAACTTAGTTACTAAAACATATTTAGAACATAACTAAAAGATAAGCAGGAATTTGGAGTTGCTACGCAAAATGCAGAATGCCCAATTAAATTTGATTTTCAAATATGCAAAGGAAAATTTTTTAGTATTAATGTGTCCCACATATTGCATACTGCATACTTATTCAAAGGAGTACTTTATTCATCAGTTCTGGAGATTCTAATTGTACATAACCTATATAATAACTTCTAAATTTCCCGACAGAATCGTTTCAAAACATTTTTGATTGTTCCTTCACCTTACAAAAAAATCCCTGATTTTAAAAAAGTCACCCTTTAATAAACTTTTGTGTAGAAAGGTAATGTTGGTCAAAGCAACTCTATAGAGATAGATGATATTTATAAATTTCCTGTCTTACCTTTTAGAATTTCTGTAGTATATTCTTTTAGAGAAAAGTAACACATAACTGTTAAGTGGTGATGTTTTTGGTGATTGTATTGTTATTCATGGTTTAATCACAGCTATATTACCTAACTTACTTTTACTTAGAATTTAGCAAAAGTATAATAAAATAATATTAGTTTTATAAAGTATTTTTCTTCCAGACTGAATATTTTTTACTCTCTTATACATCGTTTGAAGACACAGTTTTTTTTATTATACTTTAAGTTCTGGGGTACATATGCATAATGTGCAGGTTCGTTACATAGGTATACACGTGTCATGGTGGTTTGCTGCACTCATCAGCCCATCATTCACGTTAGGTATTTCTCCTAATGCTCTCCCTCCCCTAGCCCCCCACCCCTTGACAGGTGCTGGTGTGTGATGTCCCCTTCCCTGTGTCCATGTATTCTCACTGTTAAACTCCCACTTATGAGTGAGACCATGCGGTGTTTGGTTTACTGTTCTTGTGTTAGTTTGCTGAGAATCATGGTTTCCAGCTTTTTCCATGTCCCTGCAAAGGACATGAACTCATCCTTTTTTAAGGCTGCGTAGTATCCCATGTTGTGTCTGTGCCACATTTTCTGTATCCAGTCTATCATTGATGGGTATTTGGGCTGGTTCCAAGTCTTTGCTATTGTGAATCGTGCTGCAGTAAACATATGTGTGCATGTGTCTTTATGGTAAAATGATTTATAATCCTTTGGGTATATACCCAGTAATATAATGGCTAGGTCAAATGGTACTTCTAGTTCCACATTCTTAAGGAATCACCACACTGTCTTCCACAATGGTTGAACTAATTTACACTCCCACCAACAGTGTAAAGCGTTCGTATTTCTCCACGTCCTCTCCAGCATCTGTTGTTTCTTGACTTTAATGATCGCCATTCTAACTGGTGTAAGATGGTATCTCATTGTGGTTTTCATTTGCATTTCTCTAATGACCAGTGATGATGAGCATTCTTTCATATGTTTTTTTGGCCACAAAATGTATTCTTTAGAGAAGTGTCTGTTCACATCCTTTGCCCACTTTTTGATGGGGTTGTTTTTGTTTTCTTGTAAATTTGATTAAGTTCTTTGTAGATTCTGGATATTAGCCCTTTGTCAGACGGATAGACTGCAAAAATTTTCTCCCATTCTGTAGGTTGCCTGTTCACTTTGCTGATAGTTTCTTTTGCTGTGCAGTAGCTCTTTAGTTTAATTATATCCCATTTGTCTATTTTGGCTTTTGTTGTCATTGTTTTTGGTGTTTTAGTCATGAAGTCTTTGCCCATGCCTACATCCTGAATGGTATTGCCTAGGTTTTCTTCTAGGGTTTTTATGGTTTTAGGTTTTAGGTTTAAGTCTTTAATCCATTTTGAGTTAATTTTTGTATAAGGTGTAAGGAAGGGATCTAGTTTCAGCTTTCTGCATATGGCTAGCCAGTTTCCCCAATACTATTTATTAAATAGAGAATCCTTTCCCTATTGCTTGTTTTTGTCACGTTTTTTAAAGATCAGATGGTTCTTGATGTGTGGTATTATTTCTGAGGTCTCTGTTCTGCTCCATCGGTCTATATATCTGTTGTGGTACTAGTACCGTGCTGTTTTGGTTACTGTAGCCTTGTAGTATAGTTTGAAGTAAGGTAGAGTGATGTCTCCAGCTTTTTCTTTTTGCTTAGGATTGTCTTGGCTAGGTGGGCTCTTTTTTTTGTTTCCAAATGAAATTAAAGTAGTTTTGTTTTTGCCAATTCTGTGAAGAAAGTCAGCCGTAGTTTGATGGGGATAGCATTGAATCTATAAATTACTTCGGGCAATGTTGCCATTTTCACGGTATTACTTTTATCCTATCCATGAGCATGGAATGGCTTTCCATTTGTTTGTGTCCTCTTTGATTTCCTTGAGCAGTGGTTTGTAGTTCTCCTTGAAGAGGTCCTTCACATCCCTTGTAAGTCGGATTCCTAGGCATTTTATTATCTTTGTAGCAATTGTGAATGGGAGTTCATTCATGATTTGGCTCTCTGTTTTTTGTTGTTGTTGTTGTTATTGGTGTATAGGAAGGCTTGTGATTTTTGCACATTGACTTTGTATCCTGAGACTTTGCTGAAGTTGCTTATCAGCTTAAGGAGATTTTGGGTTCAGATGATGGGGTTTTCTAAATACACAATCACGTCATCTGCAAACAGAGAGAATTTGACTTCCTCTTTTCCTAATTGAATACCCTTTATTTCTTTGTCTTATCTGATTGCCCTAGCCAGAATTTCCTTAAGCCCATCCTCTATGCAAGATGCTGGGGTAAATTGCAGAAAAAATTGTTGGAGTGGAAATTGCTTTCAGTATCATAAATATGTATGTATGTTTACAAATAGAAATATGGAACCCAATGTGCTGTTAACTATTAAGACTTCGTCTCTTTTTTACCAGGCATATACATTTTCGGAACTAGGAAAACAATAGAAATACTTGCACTTTTAAGTTTGAATGTGGTCAAACCTGGGGCATTTTATTGTAGAAAGTAAATTGATTTTTTCCCTTCATTTAAAGAATGCATTAGTGAAGAAAGAATCCTTGCTGTTTGTGTATGTTATAAAGGAACAAAAGCTGGAGAATTAAATTATCTGCATAGCTGAGCAAAAAATAGTTTTTCTGTGTTTGATAAGAGTCAGATATTCTTAATAGAATTCTTAGATTTCGTGAGCAGAATGGGGACCATGCATGGCATTGAAATTTTCCGCAGACACAAAATAACTTGTATTACAGCTGAACTATAGCTCTTTGGGGACTTGTTTCTTTTTATTCATAGAGGTTAAGAATGGTGCATTATATTATCCATTTAAAGATGCTACTTGCATTTCTGAACTTCAAATACAATCATGATTTTAATATTATCAAGTAAATATATTTTAATATGGCTACACAGAAATGATTTCATTAACATTTATAGAACCCTTGGTATCAGTAGCTCTGTAGTATTTTACCAAGTGGAAGCGTTATATTTCATTGTATATTTCTTGTGTTCCTCTATAAATCACCTGTGCATATACATCCCAGAAAAAATGAGTATAGCAAGCTACATAGCATTGAATTAAGCTTTAATTTTCACTGGCTGCTTACAGAAGAAAATAACTTGTATAGCATTTAGAATTTTGAGTAGGACCATCCTCATCATCTCATGCTGTGTATTACAAAAGGAGTCTACCTAATGAAGCATAGGGTCTGGATGGTTTAACTTATTTTTTGGATAAGAGAAAGAAGAAAGAAAATAATACTTAGTTGCTGCCTTCCAAGGATTCTGTGCCATGCTGGTTTTTTAACATGCATTATCTTAAGAATATTTCTCATTTAAATATAGATTTTATTATACATTTTTAAAGACAAAGAAATGAAGGTTCACAGTTACAGCGAATAGCCTAAGGTCACACCAAGGAATAACGAGGTTCAAGCCAAAAGCCAAGTACCTTTTAATTTACAAATCCCATGTTCACCATATTCTGCCTAATTGAAAAGGGATTATCATTTGTTTGATGGAAATATAATTATACATACTATTAATATATCAAACCACTTAGCCTGTTTGAACTTCAGCTCATGTGGAAAAAAAAAAAACCTTGAAGCTGTCTAACTTCTAGAGACTATTTTTGGTAATGTAAAGCACTATTGAGAGTGCTTAAACGTAAGGGTTGTGGTGTTGGAAAGCTAGCATTTGAATATGCGCTCTAGTATTAATTACTCTTTTTATGCCTTCGTTTTCTCATTGGTAAACTAGAGCTAATAATAGTACCTAACTTAGGAGTGTGTTAGGAATGAACAAGATGATGTAAAACACTTTTTGTGACGTGTAATAAATGTTCAATAAATATTTGCTAGCTGATTTGTATAGGAAATTTTATTTGTAATAGCAGAGGAAAGGAAAGAGCATTAGAGAAGAAGCTGAATAAAAGAGAGTGAAATAGAATAACTCTTGGAGTTTCGCAATTACATAGTGAAAGTCTGTAGTGGGAGAACTTATTTTTTTAAGACATTTTACATAAAATCTGAGTAACAGCAGCAGAACTCCTCTAAATCTAGCTCACAGAGGCAATGGTGAGGCCATCCTTCCCACCTCTTCATGGAATCTAGAGCCTTCCAGTACTCTGAAGATAGGCAACTTGAGACCACCAAGAGAGCAGAATAGTTGACATCTTTCTTTAGTGGTGGCATTGATGAGGCTCCTTCAACATTCGAGCAGGCCATGAATGTTTGCCAGGGGAATGAGAGGAAGAACAGGAAACAGAGTGAACCCCAAAGTCTGTTTTATGGCCTGTATAGTTTCAAGAGCCTCACATACTCCCCAAAATGTCTAGGATGATGTTGCAAGGAGTAATAAACAAAAAGAAAGATCAGGAATTTTTTATTTATCATTTATAACATGGTATATCATCATCTCTTTATCCTGGGAAGATCTAAAAGCATTTGATAGATTTTAATATTTATGTTATGTTTATACACAAATTTACATAAATAGATATACTTGACTCATGATCTCTTTATTCTTCATATTCATGAATTATTCCTTTCCCTGCCAAAAAAATGTCTAATATATTGGGAAAGGAAATTGTATTAAGCAAAGGTTTATCTAAATGACAGAACCATTGATTTCCATATATTATTTTTATGTTGTTAGAAATAAAGAGGAGAGTATATCCTTAGAACAAGAATATAAATTTATTTCCCAAAATAATCAAAAAATTATTACTTTTCAGCTTTCGACTTTAGTCATCTAATTTAAAAAAAAGTTTGGAAGATTTTCTTAGAGAAATGTTTTCGAGATGTGTTTGCTTTCATACTTGGTATCTTACAATTTGATAGTCTATTGTAATCACTAATATGTCTCATATTTTCTTTTGTTCTTTCTTTAGTTGTGAACTCTTAGGTCAGCAATAATATCGTGTATCCCTTTGAACCCCTTAACAATTCCTGTTGGAGTACTGTGCCCAAGGAAACCTCTTTAAATATTAAAAATTGATAAAGATACTTTCCAATTTTTCTTTTCTCTTCTTCCTAGACTTCGGCATGTTAAATCGATGACTACTTCTAACAATTCTCTCCTTCTTTATTGAAGCAACCTCTCTTGGCTTCAATAATATTCTAGCTTCTTCTTTGTCTCCTACTCCTCTGCTACTCCTCAGTATCCTGAATGAGCTCGTCTTCCTCTCTCCACCTCTGGTCAGACCCTTGTCTGGATGTTGACATTAATCACCTTCTTTTCATGCTGCTCCCATGCAGTCCCATAAGACAACTAACCTTAACACATCCTGCCTAGTCTCATCAGCTTCAACCTCTGCCTCATCCTTCATCAGTGTATTCTCTATCTCAAACTACATGCAGCTCTTAGAAATTGTAATAAATCTCTTACCCTCAGCATCCACAGAATTAATATTGCAACCAGCTTTTGTATGGGGGTAAGGATAGAGCTCTCAATATTTTTAAGTAATTTGTTTTAAATAGTTTAAGTTCTCTAACTCTAAGGACATAATATATTCCAAGAATATGTTAGTAGAATGCCTAAAATTGTGTTTTGGATAGTCATTCATTCAACAGTGTTTTAAAACGAAAGTATTTTATGTTCAAGCATTATGCTAAGTGCAGTGTGTGCTGGAGAAAATAGAAAATGTTTAAGATATAGTTTCATACTCAAGGAGTATACCAGGGGAGCAACTAAGTGAATCAACTATGCTTTCATTTTCTTTCTTTCTTTTTTATTTAGTAGCGTTGGTGAAATTACAATTGGGCATTCAGTATTCCAATTGTTTTTCCTTTTGCTTTTTACTCTATAGAATCGGAACCCACAAATTGTATATTGTATATACAGTATATTTTATTTGCTATTTTCAGATGTTTTGCCAATTATTTTTCTGTCCTTTTGTAATAATGCTTGCAAACCTGTAGTATTTGTAGTTTCATTTTTTAACCTTGCTATATCTGTTGATTTGAACTTTCAAGAGAATATGTTAATCCAAGATTGTTACTATTCTTTTAAACAAATTAAGGAAAGTCTTATATACAGTATAGATTAATAATGATCACAGACACATTGTTTCTATTTAAAATGTCATAATAAATTTTCAAAAGAGTTGTACCTGCTTATAGAAAGAAAAGCGTAGGGAAGTTATTGCTAGGAGTTACGAGTGTGCACTACCAATAAAATTCTATCAGTAATATAAAAAAAGATAAAAAATAAGAGTATAGTATTTCCATTGTGTCTTTTGGATGGGGAAGAGATGTGTTTGCATGTGTGTGTGTTTGTTCAGTTTTGATTGTTTAAATTTTTTAATTAAACAGGTGTTCCGAATCAAGCATTTTTTAATCAACACTTTTTAAGCCACATTTGTGTAATTAAATGGAGGTAAATCAGAGGTAACATATGGATGTCTCCATAATCTGTTTCAAAAAATGAATTATAGCAAGATGATAGAAAAATGTAATACCAAAATCCAGGTCAGGTGTTCTTCAAATGCATATAGAGGGAAAAAGTACCATAACTTACATGGCACATAAATACTTTAAATATTATTCTGAACAGAATGCTTATCAAAAATATTCAGAATGATACACAATTAAAACCTTATTATTCAAAGAAGATTATAGTTAGAGAAAGTGATTTAAGTTGCATAGATCCAACTCAGCCATGACAATACTTAGCACCCCCCTAAAACCTTACCACTTCGTCCTGCAGGCGTTTCATTGCGAATTTCAACTCAGGTTTACTTCCTACATTTTAATTATAAATTGCCTCATTCTGAAATGCCAAACTTTGCTGAAGAATATCATATAACTCTCCTTAATAGAATTCTACTTGGTCATGCCAATACGCTCTAATTGGAACCTTACACATCTTCAGGAATTATTTATTTCTTTTTAATAACCTCACTCTTTATGATTGTTATTCTAAGCCTTTTGCATTGCCTTCTATTATGTGTTCACTAATACATTTGTTAAACCAAAAATATTTGTTAATCACTCACTGTGTCAGACACTGTTCTTTGCACAGTGGCAAGAAAAGCATTAAAAATGCACTTTTTGACTAACTTGTTCATAATATATATTGTTATCCTACAAATTTGTCTTAGCAGCAGCATAACAGATCCTGTTTTCAGAGATTTTAATTCAGTCCATCTGGAAGAGGGTCTAGGAAAAGTTCCTGAGTGATTCTGATATATGGCCAATTTGGGAACCAAATATAGACAAGTAAAACATGTTTGAAACTTGAAAAAGACACTTGGGAAACATCAGCTTGGAGATGCTTCTTGTGGCTCTGTGAAAGGGAAGGAAAAACTGAAAGACAGTTTAAAGGAAAAATAAACTATGTTAGGAGCACACATCTAAATTGGTCAGAAACTTGAGAAGAACAGAATATGAGGATGGTAATCTATAGCATCAAATGCTATAGTTAGCAAGATGAGAGAAAAAAATTTTAGTCTCTATTTACTGACATCTTACTATGTACCAAACACTTTGCTAAGTGTCACAAACACCATATTTAACTCTAAAATACCACAGCTAAATAGGAAAATAAAGTTCATAGACTTTAAGTAACTTTTAGAACTTAAAGGTCCTGTAGTAGTAAGGCCAGGTTTCAATTCTATCTACTGTACTTTCAATGTATTTATTATTTGAGCATTATTCTCCTCAAGGATTTTCACCGGTAATAGAAAGGGCTTTTATATTCAAGATAAAGAAAAAATGATAGAGTGATGTTCCAAGAAAAAGTAAGGAATAATATTAAGACCATAACAGAGAGCGGGTGTGGTGTCTCACGCCTGTAATTCCAGCACTTTGGGAGGCCGAAGCAGGTGGATCACTTGAGGCCAGGAGTTCGAGACCACCTGGACAACATTAATGAAACCCCATCTCTAGTAAGAATACAAAAATTAGCTGGGTGTGGTGGCACACACTTCTAGTCCCAGCTACTCAGGAGGCTGATGCATGAAAATCATCTGAACCCCAGAGATAAAAGGTTGCAGTGAGCTGAGATCACGCCACTGTACTCCTGCTTGGGCGAGAGAATGAGACTTTGTCGGGAAAAAGAAAATGGAACATAGTAACATAATAGAGGATCTTATTTAAGAAGGCCACTCTTTCCTTAGGAGCTTATGTGAGGATATATGTGTAAAAATGTTTTCATAGGAGTAAAATGTATGCAAATTTAATATATGCTTTCTATAAAATAATACAGTGAAGAGGAAACAAAGGATGAAGATGAAGCAAGATTTTGAGGCAATGAATTAGAAATTCAACTAAGGTAGGATTAAGGGGAAATTTATAGCACTAAATGCTTACATCAAAAAGTTACAAAGATCTCAAATTAACAACCTAACTTCACAACTGAAAGAATTAGAGATGCAAGAACAAATCAACCTCAAAGCTACCAGAACACAAGAAATAACAAAAATCCGAGCTGAACTGAAGGAAATCGAGACACAAAACTTCAAGAGATCAACAAATTCGTGAGTTGTTTTTTGAAAAAAATAATAGGCCACTAGCTAAACTAATTGAAAAGAAAAGAGAGACTATCTAAATAAACACATTTAGAAATGACAAAGGAAATGTTATTACTGACCCTACAGAAATAAAAGCACCCATCAGAAACTACTATGAACACCTCTACACACACAAACTAGAAAACCTAGAAGATATTGATAAATTACTGGACACATACACTCTCCTAAGACTGAGCTAGGTAGAAATCAATTCCCTGAATAGACCCAATAACAAGTTGCAAAATTAGTAATAAATAGCCTACCGACAACAACAAAAAAAACCCTGGGACCTGATGAGTTCATAGCTGAATTCTACCAGATGTACAAAGAAGATCTGGTACTATAGAAACTATTTCAAAAAATTGAGGAGGAGGGACTCCTCCACTCTATCTATGAGGCCAGCATCATCTTGCTACCAAAACCTGGCAGAGCCATAGCAACAACAACAAAGAAAGACTTCAGGCCAATATCCTTGGTAAACTTCAATGCAAAAATCCTCAACAAAATACTTGCAAACCAAATCTAGCAGCACCATAATCAAGTAGGCTTCCCCCTAGGATGCAAAGTTGGCTCAACATATTTAAATCAGTAAATATGATTCATTACATAAACAGAACTAAAGACAAAAAACACATGATTATTTCAATAGATGTAGAAAATGCTTTTGATAAAATTCATCATCACTTCATGTTAAAAACTCTCAATAAACTAGGTATTGAAAGAACGTAACTCAAAAAGCCTTCTATGACAAACCCCTGGCCAACATTATACTGAATGGGCAAAAGTTGGAAGCATTCCCCTTGAAAATCTGTACAAGACAAGGATGCCCTCTCTTACCACTCCTATTCAACATAGTATTGGACATCCTAGACAGATCAATCAGGCAAGACAAATAAAGGAATCGAAATGGGAAGAGAGGAAGCCAAACTATTTCATTTTGCAGGTGACATGATTCTATAGCAGGAAAACCCAGTAGTCTTGGACAAAAGCTCCTTCAGTGGATAAACTTCAGCAAAGTTGCAAGATAAAAAATGAATGTGCTGAAGTTATTAACATTCCTATATACCAACAAAACCAAAAGGCAAACCAAAGGGCATATCAGAGAAGCAATCCCATTCACAATTGCCACAAAAAGAATGAAATACTTAGGTATACATCTAACCAGGGTGAAAGATCTCTACAACGAGAATTAAAATAGACTCCTCAAAGAAGACAAAAACAAATGGAAAAACATCCTATTTTCATGGAAAGGAATAATCAGTATCATTAAAATGGCCGTACTGCCCAAAGCAATTTACAGATTCAATGCTACTCCTGTCAAATTACCATCAGAATTCTTCACAGAACTAGAGAAAATTATTTTAAAATTCATATGGAACCAAAAAGAGCCCGAGTAGCCAACGCCTTCCTAAGCAAAAGGGACAAAGCTTTTGGCATCATGCTATTCTACTTCAAAATAGACTACAAGGCTACAGTAATCAAAACAACATGGTAGTGGTGGAAAAACAGGCACATAGAGCAACAGAATAAATAGACCAGAAATAAGGCCACACATATATGTCCATCTGATCTTTTACAAAACTGACAAAAACAAGCAATGGGGAAAAGACCCCCTATTGAATAAATGGTGCTTGGATGACTGGCTAGCCATATGCAGAAGATGGAAGCTGGACCCCTTCCTTACACCATATACAGAAGTCAACTCTAGTTGGATTAAAGACTTAAATGTAAAACCCCAAGCTATAAAAACCCTGGAAGACAACCTAGGCAGTACCATCCTGGGCATAGGAACCAACAAAGATTTCATGATGAAGACACCAAAAGCAATCGTAACAAAAGTAAAAATTGACAAGCGGGATCTACTTAAACTTAAGAGTTTCTGCAAAACAAAAGAAACTATCAACAGAGTAAATAGACAACCTACAGAATGGGAGGAAATATTTCTAAACTATGCCTCTGACAAAGGTCCAATATCCAGCATTGATAAGGAACTTGAACACATTTACAAAAGAAAAACATACAACCCCATTTAAAAAGTGGGCAAACAACATGAACAAACACTTCTCAAAGGAAGACATACATGTAGCCAACAAACATATGGAAAAAAGCTCAATGTCACTGATAGTTAGATAAATGCAAATCAAAACCACAATGAGATAGCATCTCGCACCTGTCAGAATGGCTATTCTTAAAAAGCTAATAACAGATGCTGGTGGGGTTGCTGAGAAAAGGGGACACTTGTACACTGTTGGTGGGAATGTAAATTAGTTCACCCATTGTGGGAAAGCAGTATAGCAATTCCTGAAAGAGCTAAAAGTGGAACTATCATTCAATCCAGCAATCCCATTACTGATATATACCATGACAAATATAAATCATTAATCCATAAAGATATATGCATGTGAATGTTCACTGCAGTATTATTGAAAGTAGCAAAGATGTGGAATCAACCTAAATTTCCATCAGTGACAGATTACATAAAGAAAATGTGGTACATATACACTGTGGAATGCTATGCAGCCATAACAAGGAATGAGATCATGTCTTTTGCAGGAATGGGAATGGAGCTGGAGGCAATTATTCTTAGAAAATGAATGCAGGACAGAAAACCAAATACCACTTGTTCTCACTTGTGAGTGGGAGCTAAATGATGAGAACTTATGAACACAAAGACGAAAATAGACACTGGGGTCTACTTCTTGGGGAGGGTGAAAGGAGGGAGAGGAGCAGAAAACATAACTACTGGGTACTGTGCTTAATACCTGGGTAATTAAATAATATCTACAACAAATCCCTGTGACACAAGTTTTCCTATATAACCTTCACATGTACCCCCCAAACCTAAAATAAAAGTTAAACAAAAATAATTTAAGGAAGTTCTAGTCAACCCTAATCTTCTAAAAAATACAAGGTACAGTCAAATTGCTAAGATTTGTCAGAGAATTTTGCTAGAGTATTCTGGGTGTTCCTGGTAAGACCCTGTCTTTTACTGAGCCCACAACTCTCCCCATATGGGGAGATATAGCCCATATGGGTTATATATTATGTATATGGGGCCTCCACTCCCAACCCCATATACATAATGTATACCTCAACTCTCCGGGAATCCCAGTCGTGTCATCAATCATCCTTGCACTCTCATTTCCTCAGACACTTATTTCCATTGTCACTTCATAGATGTTGTCATTACCAATAAGTTAAACCAGTTTCCAACAACACTATTTTTTTTTCAGCTCATGCACTCTAGTGTTTCAACACCAGCTATATTTAGACTCCATGGGGATCTACAATCTACTGTTCCTAACATGTTTTCTCTTTACCTATTGTTATTTCTATGCTCATACTTACTCCCTTAATTAGGAATTCTATGACCTGGTATATAATTGATTCTGTGCATATTCCTCAACTCCCTTCCTCCCTTCCTCCCTTTATTATCGATTCCACTTTGGGAAAAAAAAATCCACATTAGCCAAACTTGTATTTCTTCCATGGTTCCTCTCGGACAAATGTACATGGCTGGAGAAAAAAATTAGACCATGCTGCCTGGTCTCATTAAATGTAAGATCCCTACTGCAAGTGGCCCTTTAGTGTTTCTAGGCAAGCACACTATATTCCCCTAGTACTTTTCATCTCCCATTCTCCTATATGATCATTTAATGCCTTTGCATCTCTACTCCAACCTCCAGATGACTCTGCTTCCTATTTCCCTGATAAAATAGAAACCAACGTAGACAATTTTAATAAACTTCTACCACCACACCTATCTTGCATTTATACTCTGTTTTATTTTTCTCCAAAGCATTTACTGCCATCTAATATGTTACATATTTTCCTTAAGAATTTGGTTTATTGTGCATTCTTCCCCCTCCTCTGCCACTGTAAGTTTGAAAATAACAATGTTATTTTCTATTTTGTTATTTTTGTCTTTGCAGTACCTGCAGCAATGCCTGATAAGTAAAGGATGCAGTAAATTGTGTGTGTGTATGTGTGTGTGCATGCGTGTGCATGCGCACGCGTGTGTGTTTTGTTTAAATAATGTTATGGGATAGATCTTATAATCTTCCTTTTACAAATGATGAAACTGAGGCTCAGATAATTTTAGTCACATTCTAAGGGCCAGTTAGCAATCAAATAGTGGAGCCAGAATTCCAGCCCAAGTCAGTCTAATCTAAAGCTTAAGCATGTACCAAATTAAGTTTAAACTATTCATTCTACTAGTCTGAATTCTTGGGTTTGTGTCTCAGAATATCTTCCCAGGCTTATCTTGTTCTACCTTATTACACACACGTACTCTTCAATCAAACTAGAAACTTCCTGTCTTTCAGCATGTCCCTAGCTGGTCCTGCACAGTCATTCATGTGAACAGGCTCCTCTTCAGTGCCTGGAGCATGTTCCGTCTTATGCCTATTGAAATCCTGCTTGTTCTTCAGGATCTATATACTCTCTCTTTGTTTTTTTCTAAGACATTTCAAGTGGGATTTTCTGTTCTCTGCTTTTAACTCTTACCAATGTCACACATCTATCTTAGAGCACTTATTTAAATTACAAAGTGGAGAGAGACGTTGTATCCATGTCTCAAGTTCTTCCAGACTCCCTGGCAGATCATCAGCTCCTTTGAGTATGTGTTCATTTTTATATATTCCATATAGCAACACCACTACACGATTTTCACTTGACAATTATAACAGTCTTGGAGTGCTCAATGCCAAACATTGTTCTAAGCCATTACATATGTTAATTAATTCAATCCTCAAAATCCTGTGAGGACAGGTACTATTATTATCCCCAAATTTAGAATGAGAAAGCGAAGAACAGAAAACTTGTCAAAGTCACACAGTTAGTGATTATTTGAACTGAGACTTGAATCCAGACAGCCTGGTTCCAGAGGACTTGACTAAGAGATACTACCTTTTAGTTATCGGTAAATGCACCATAAATATTGGTTGAATTCAGGAAGCTGAATAACAGTATCTGACAAAAAAAAATTACAAAAACACAGCAGGAAGACTAAAGGAGTGAATGTCCCCTTGTGTTATCTGGCTGTTTGATGACAAAAGTAGGTTACTATACTACAAGCTGTTATATATGTTGCCTATTAAGAAAAAAATGTAAAGGACTCAGTAAGGCTAATTGTATGATATCAAAACAGAATTTACATTTCACATCACAAGATAAAAGATTTTTTGCGCCAATGCTAAGTTTTCTAAACTTTGCTTTTGAGATTAAGTAGAAGACTTGATTGTTTAGAAATAAACTGTAAGTCTATTGTGAAGTCTCAAAATGGCCCAGCAAAAGGGAAAATACATCTGAATTTTCTAGTTGTGTAATTATCTGTGTAATTAGATGTGAAACTTCTCTTTCACAGTCTTCCCTCATCATCTGGGATGGCCTCAGGAAACAGTTATCATCCTCCCTTCAGACTTACATGAGATGCACTGGGATTTTTATAAGACACTGTTTAAACTTCAAGAATAAAAAGCAACAATGAGATAAAGTGAAATTATGCGTAGGTATGGATTTTTTGTTTTTGAAAGGAGAAGGTAGATATAATTTGAAAACTATGATAGAGAGCGATTTTCAAAGTATCTCTATGAAGATACTATTTTTAACTTTTCACAAAGAGAAATTTTCTTCCATTAATTATATTAAATTTTTATTTTAATAATTTTTATATATATGCATTGTAGGCAAAGTTTTGATCCAATACAGAAGTGTTTTATAAAAATCATCATGAGTTAAGTAAATATTCAGCATTTTAATCTTTGCCTTGCCTTTGTAACGTTTTCTTCTCTTAATTCCTTGGAAGAATGAAGAAAGGAATATGTGTGTTAAAAACTAAATATGTTTAGTAAATCTAAATTCATTACTTCAAAAAAGATATTATTTTTATATTTCGTAAACATATGTATTCTTAGAACAGATTCCTGTAGTGTATCTGCATGTCCTTCAGGCTCTGCTGTTGAACATTTTCCTTTCAGGTCATTAGTTGTGCCCTGCTCTTCTGCCATTTTGAATGGTCCAGTGGTAAATTTGTACCAGCTTTATTAAACACAAGCAATACACTGCAGATTTTGATGACCAGGCTTTCTGTAATGTGGCCTTTTAAATCTGAGGGCTCAGAGGCATTCTCCAAATCCTCTCCATTAGTCTTTTTAAAGATACAAGCTACTTCAGAATAGCCAAATAAGAATATTATTATTAGAATATTGTCATGCAAGTCTTACTTATTTGGCTATTCTGAAGTAGCCAACTCTAAGGCACACTCCATGAGCCTCAAGGAAATGAGAAGTTCTCTTTAAGTATAATTCCCTCTTGGATATGATGTCAGTGGTATCTCCTCTCCCTCTATCTCTGGGGCCACATCCACCATCACTTATGACTACACTTAGGAGAACTGAAGAGGAAACCTACATCCTCCCCAAAGAGTCCTAAGACAGTAGCGAGCAGTGGAAACAGAACAGGAAGTTACTTGTCTGGGAGATCTGATGTGTAGTCTGTGCTTTTTGTATGTGTGCCAGAGTAAAAAGCAATTAATAGCAAAGTATTTTATAAAAGCTTTTTCTGTAATCTATGGCTCTGTTATGTTTACCCCATTGTTGCTTTATCTTTTTTTGTTTAGAGTGTACATTTAGTGTCTGAAGCAAGGAGAGTTTGATAGCTCACCGAAATTACTACATGTTTTCTACTAGCAAAACGAAATAGAACAATTTGCTTGAGAATTACTGTGGATTATTTACTGTAAGCTAAACTCTATGTAATAATAATCGCTGACACTTATTTCTTACTTCAGGCAATATTCTAAGTATTTTTATATATTATCTAATTTAATCTAACAACAAATCCTAAAAAATAGGAAACTATCGTCTCCATTTTACATATGACAATTCTACAATACAGCAGATTAAGTTAATTTTTCAAGATGATACGAGCAGCAAGTAGTGAAGTTAAGATTTGGACACAGGCTATTATTTTAGACATTTAGGAGAATGTCAGATTCTTCCGGCAGGTCATATAACCACTGCACAATACCACTCTCCGCCCCATCTTTAAGTATAGTGCTTTTCCACCTCATCAAAAAATTTGTGATGATATCCTGTAAATTCTATCCTTAAAAGAACCATAAAAATATGTATTAGACACCGACTTGAAAAAAATTTACATAAAAGATAATAGAAACTATCTTAGTCTAGTTTTTGTTCTACAATCAACATTTGTTTTTATAAATCTCTATAAAATTCCAGGGCATGGCCGGGCGCGGTGGCTCACGCCTGTAATCCCAGCACTTTGGGAGGCCGAGGCTGGTGGATCATGAGGTCAGGAGATCGAGACCATCCTGGCTAACAAGGTGAAACCCCGTCTCTACTAAAAATACAAAAAATTAGCCGGGCGCGGTGGCGGGCGCCTGTAGTCCCAGCTACTCGGGAGGCTGAGGCAGGAGAATGGCGTGAACCCGGGAAGCGGAGCTTGCAGTGAGCCGAGATTGCGCCACTGCAGTCCGCAGTCCGGCCTGGGCGACAGAGCGAGACTCCGTCTCAAAAAAAAAAAAAAAAAAAAAATTCCAGGGCATTGTGCTGCTATTGTGTGTTATTAGAATATTGTTATGAAATAAACAATGATAAGCCCGATCTGTCTCCTAAAATCTCTTTTGTTTCTGATATGACAAGATAGAGCATGTCACAAACCCAAACCTTATCACTAAATATAATTTTCATAGTTATTATATTATCCCATCCTTAATTGTTTCATAGTTGTAAGCATCAAATTTTCCTGGAACTCTATATTTCCCATTTCCAAGTAGAACTTAAATTACTATTGTCCTTTAATGAAAAAAATCAATTAAGGGAAGGAAATTACACATTTTTCAAACCTCCCACCAGAAAAACAAAAACAGCTGTGGAAAAAAATGAAGAGATATATGGGTTCACTGATATTGACTGAAAATACTCACACTTAGTGCCATCCACATACATAAGTTAATATAAAATAGAACACCATAAAGTCATTTTAAAACTGTCATATTTATTGTGTTTTTGCCCATTTTAAATATTAGCTCGTGCTTATCTAGTACTAAGGGCTTCATATTTATTAACTTATTTAATCTGCACAATTATCCATCACTGTCTCTATTTTACATAAAAAAAATTGAGTCACAGAGAGTTTAAATCATTTGTCTGAGGTTTCGAATGCATTCAGATTGATTACTTAACCACTATGGTAATTCGTCTCTGACAATCAACTAAATCAATCATTTTATTCATTCAAGATCAATGGAATCAGAAGTGAAAACATTTAAGGACTCACCTGTATATTAGAATCAGTAGGGAAAAGTGATGGATTTTTAAAAAGAAATATGTTAAGAGTACGTTGCAAAAAATGTAGATTTCAATATATGTTTAGAAAAATATAGAGGAGTCTGATCATACATGAGAGAGAGAGAGGGAAAGACAGAGAAGGCATAGATATTGAGCAGGAAGAAAAATAATGTGTACAATATTTGTGAGTGACTTGAGGTATTTTAAAGGATAAATCTTAAGGCCTTGATATTAGAACTCAAACCATGCAAATATTGCAACTCTGGTAAATTCCAGCTTAAATTAACCAAATATACTATATTCTGAGAGAATCATTAAACGGTAACAAAGACAAGAGTAGCTCTTTGTTGTTGTTGTTTTAGCAGTTACTGATGATAATATTTAAATATACTCAATGTTTCTAAATTTTTCAGGGTCTATCTAACTGAATGAAGGTGCTTTTTAGAAATAAATAGATAACGATCTGCTGTCAAAGGTATTGCTTTCCTTTATTAGCAGCCTCATAGTGATGTAGAACAAAGTTGTCGGGATAGAAACCTGCTTAGGTTGCTTGTTCTCCTCAGATGGTAACCCCAGGAAGGGTAGATGAGACAGTTCACCCTAAAAGACGGTGAGTAGTGACCATGAGTCACCAAAATTGGAGTTGGCCTTGGATGTCAGCTTTGCTGAAGGGGAGCAAAAAGTCTGAGGTCTGAGGAGTTAAAAAAAACAGTCAGCAGTCACTGGTCACTTCCAGCAGGTGAGAAAGGAAAGAAGCATTTTGAGCATACAGTAGAGCCAGAGCTAACCTCATAACTTAGGAACACAGGTTAAGGAGCATCCAGGTATGTTGTACACCTCAAGGTACAACATAACTTTTCATCTTAATGAGCATAGGTTCTTGAGCCATACCATCTGGATCTTCAGTAGAGTGATTTCAACATTAATAGGAGCATGTCCTCTGGGGTGCTAAGTAAGGGAGGTTCAACGGTGAACAAGACCTCTTCCTGCTCCTCAAAGAATCTCTATTGCAGTAGAAAGATAGGCATCTTTATGTCTTTACATAAAATGAAGATGAAAGAGTTATAAATAAGGTATAACATTCACGTGGGTATTTAGAAGGATGAGATAAATTCCATTTGGGGGAAAAGTGGGTGATGGGGGTGCCTTCAGAGAAGGCATAGATATTGGGCAGGAAGGAAAATTCAATGCTCACTATTAAACTGACATAACATTTTTTTACCTTTAGGTTTGTGGGCACATGTTAAGGTTTGTTATATAGGTAAACTCATGTCACGGGGGTTCGTTGTACGGATTATTTCATCACCCATGCATTAAGCCTAGTACCCAATAGTTATTTTTTTCTGCTCCTCTCCTCCCATCCTGCACCCTCAAGTAGGCCCCAGTGTCTGTTGTTCCCTTCTTTGTAACACATTATTTTGAATTAGTATAGCTATCTGTATGCTTCTTCACTCAAGCTATTAGAAACTAGAGGGCTGGTTCTAGATCTTTAAGGAATCATCACATGGTCTTCCACAATGGTAGAAGTAATTCACAGTGGCGGAGACAAGGAACCAACCCAATGTCTATCAGTGATAGACTGGATAAAGAAAATATGGTACATACACACCATGGAATACTATGCAGCCATAAAAAGGAGTGAGATCATGTCCTGTGCAGGGACATGGATGGAGCTGGAAGCCATTATCCTCAGCAAACTAACACAGGAACAAAAAACAAACACTGCATGTTCTCACTTATAAGTGGGAGCTGAACAATGAGAACACATGGACACGGGGAGGGGAACAACACACATTGGGGCCTGTGGGGGTGGTGGTGGTACAGAGAGGGAGAGCATTAGGAAAAATAGGTAATTCATGCTGGGCTTAATACCTAGGTGATGGGTTGAGAGGTTAACGTGTGCCATAGTGGTTTGCTGCACCTGTGTAACAAAGCTGTACACCCTGCACATGTATCCCAGAAGTAAAAGTTGAATTTAATTAAATGAGAGGGCTAAGATCCCTCCTTGTTCCCATGCACTCCCCACACCTAGCACATACCTGCCATCCAGTACTTACTTATATTGTGAATAACTATTAATTAAACAGAATTAAATATGACCTAGCTGCTGTGTTCTATTCCCTAGAAGGAGGCAGAATTCTGCTGGAACTGGCTTCTGATTCTAGCAGAGCAGGGCTGGATTCTCTAGAAGAAAGGGTGTGATAATGCAGAAGCATCTAAGTAGTAACAGTAAACCTAAAATGCAAACATCACTTTTACCTGATTGGTTTTACTTTACAAAGAGAAGACGGAGAGAATACTATATTAACTTCGTAAATAAAGATCTGTTCAAGACTATATTGGATGAAAACCATCAAAGATAAACACCTCAATATTTTATGCCATCTTAGGGCTGCCGGTTATCTACTATTAGACATTTACAAAATCATTCAATGAGTATTGGTAATACTTGTAGAAGCAAGTTTATGGTTATGTTTGGGGCATTGAGATTTTTAATGTTACTTCTTTTGAATTGATAAATGGTTATATTATTGTTTAATTATAATCTGTTCTTCAATAACAAATGAGTATTTTAAAAAATTATTTTACTAATACATAACATTTCTACATATTTACGGAAACGTGATGATGCATGCATACAATGTATAATGGTCAAATCAGGGTATTTAGGATATCTATCACCTCAAACATTTATAATTTATTTGTGTTGGGAACATTTTAAGTTTTCTATTTTGAGATACACAATATATTGTTTTTAACTGTAGTCACTCTGCTGTGCTAGAGAACACTAGATCCTATTCCTTCTACCTAAGTGTATGCATGTACCCATTAACCAACCACACTTCATCCTCCTTTTCCCCACCATTTCCCAGCCTCTGGTAACTATAGTTGTACTCTCTACCTCCATGAGATAGCTTAGGTAGCTCCCATATATGAGTAGAAACACATCCTCAAAACTTAGAAAGATTACAAAACTAGAAGGGGACAAGCAGCTATATAACCTGGAAATCAGCATTTTTTTTTTCTTTTTTTTTTGAGACGGAGTCTTGCTCTGTCGCCCAGGCTGGAGTGCAGTGGCGCGATCTCGGCTCACTGCAAGCTCCGCTTCCGGGTTCACGCCATTCTCCTGCCTCAGCCTCCCGAGTAGCTGGGACTACAGGCGCCCGCCACCATGCCTGGCTAATTTTTTTTTTGTATTTTTAGTAGAGACGGGGTTTCACTGTGTTAGCCAGGATGGTCTTGATCTCCTGACCTCGTGATCCACCTAAGAGTTTATCTTTTCTTACAACTTCTTTTATACTGAAAAGAAGCTCTTTAGTTAACTCTCTTTGTCATGGAGTTAGAAGTCAAGTGCTATTCCTTGTTTTAAAGATGATTGCAGTCTTGGCATGTTATCAAAATGCAAATACTTTACCCTTAAATTAAGCCCTTATTTAGAGACTCAAAATTCCCTGGAGAGAGGAGGATAGCAGTGCTATATCAGAAATATATTTTTTTAACATACAGAGTTGACTGAAGTTGTTTTTATTAAAAATGGGCATTTCTAATCCTGTCCACACCACCATCCTCAGTATCTCACCTCCAATTTAATGACAATTTCATTCTGACCTTAGGTGAAGTCCTTCTTTCTAAGAAATATGTTCTGTAATCCCCCAGACTAGAGTAGATGCCTTAGAACTTTCTATACTCCCTTAGTTACTTAAATATATCTTAAGGGCTAGACTGCAAATTGGCACCACATCACTTCTCCCACATTCTGTTGTTAAGTATAGCACAAGGCTAGCCCAGATTCAAAGGAGAAAAACTCCTTCTCTTGAGGGGAAGGGACATATGCATGCTAGAACAATAGGAGGAATTATTGGTGTCCATATTTAGATATAATGTATATAAATGCCCATTTGAGATTAGAATCATAATTTTAATGTCAGCATAGTCTTTGTAATTTTCCCACTTTTTTTATTTACTAGGATGTAGATACAAAGAAGACAAATAGTTGAATTCATCCAGCATTTGAGTTTCATCAGGCAAGGTAAACAAGTCCTGATAGGCAAAGGATTTAAAAGGTTTATGCAAAGAAGTTGTTAGACGCAGAGCCAAGGAAAGAAAGGAGATAGTGAATAATGAAAAACTGCATTTGAGGTTGTTTTAAAGAATTAATGGAATGGAAGTAATAGAGTTAGTGAGCTGGAATGATATCAGGGGTGATGAGAGGTCAGATTATAGAACTGTGTAGTTATTACTGATAATAAGTTTAGAAGGGAGAACATGGAAGCAGAAATACATTTTAAAAACAAGGCTCAGTATAATAACTGAGTACTTGTATAATAACTCAGTATAATAACTGAGTACTCAGTATAATAACTGAGTACATTGTACAGTTCTAAAAATAAGCCTTAAATTTAGAACAAAGACAGTGATCATCGTAAGCTGAAATGGAATGGAAATATTCCATGAGAGAGGTGAGAATTGAGTGGAATATTGGAGACAGGTAAAGCATCAGCTAAAGAAGGATGCTGGAGAAGGCCTGGCGGACTTGGCAGCACCATTTGCATAGAGTGCTTCAGCTTAGCGCTTAAGCCCATGTTGAGCTTCCACACTGTCCAATAAGGAGTTTAGGGTTTGATTTATGTAAAGTGGGAATCACTGAAAACATTTTAGTAAGAAAGGGATGTTATTAAAATAATAGAGGAAGATTAACTGACATGAGGAATAGTATGAAAGATTAGTGGGACTGAAAGCGACCAGTTAAGATGCTGGTGGAATAACCCATTGTGATGAAGCATTTTTAAAAACATGCATGTATTAGATGTATAGAAATAAAAGATATGCCTTTTATTGACATCTTTGATTGGTGTGTCAGGCATAAAAAAAGCAGAGGGCTCTTAGGAATTTTTTCAGCGTATGATGAAAAGCATGTGATCTGCTGGTGACCCTGGAACAGTGAAAGTCCTTGGCCGGGCGCGGTGGCTCACGCCTGTCATCCCTGCATTTTGGGAGGCCGAGGTGCATGGATCACAAGGTCAGGAGTTCGAGACAAGCCCGGTCAAGATGGTGAAACCTCGTCTCTACTAAGAATACAAAAAAAGCCGAGCATGGTGAGGGGTGCCTGTAATCCCATCTACTTGGGAGGCTGAGGCAGAGAACTGCTTGAACCTGGGAGGCGGAGGTTGCAGTGAGCCGAGATCGTGCCACTGCACTCCAGCCTGAGCGACAGAGAGAGATTCTGTCTCAAAAAAAAAAAAAAAAAGCCTTAATGTGGCCATTTTCTGGGGCGCCTCCTGCTGGTTTCACTATGTCTCATTGCTCATGATGTTTTCTCCACAAAGTTCTTGAAGGCTGTTTAGAACATGGTTTGGAAGCTAGTTGAGCAAAAATGAAAAGATAACTGGGAGGGTCTATGGAAACTGAATAAAGGTGGTAGCTATGGCAGTAACTTTGCCCTCTTCAACCAAGTGTTGTTTGTCTCCACAATTGCTTTTCTAATATGGGTATTATCCCCAAAATACTTAATGGTGGGCATTGTCTCCAAAATACTTGTTTTTAAAGATGCAAGGTGCTGTAGTTGTATTGAACCTGTGAGAATCAAATCAGCCTGCTGGTGCTAACTCTGATGGAGGGCGGTGAGGGGACAGAGGTCATAATAACACAGTCGCCAATTAAGTGCTTACAAATTCTGGTTTATTATGAGGCTTTCACACACCAACAATCATGCAAATATGTTTAACACACAAGCAGTGATAAAAAGGAGCGAGTAGCTCCAGAGACCAGCCTACTGACTTATGAACTGGCAGGTCCAGTTTTCCTAAGAGAGCCAGTTCACCCAGGAGAAGGGCCTCACTGCTTTTTTTCCCCAGCAGAGCTCTGGCACCTGCAGCTGAAGGAAGGAGGCCCCAGAGTTCTCACCAGCAGAAATGCTATAGGCTTCTTACTGTGGTCAGCTTCTTTGTGGTGTTTGGAGTCTTCCAAAGAAGTATACATGGCCACTATCTTCAGCTGCCTTTTAGGAGAGAATTTTATGAGTACATAGTAGATGTATACATTTATGGGGTACGTGAGAAATTTTGATATGGGCATACACTGCGTAATAATCATATCAGAGTCAATGGAGTATCCATCACCTTAAACATTTATCCTTCCATTGTGTTATAAACAATCCAATTATATTCTTACTGTAACATGTGCAATAAATTATTGTTGACTGTAGTCACCCTGTTGGGCTGTCAAATACTAGATCTTATTCATTCTATCTAACTGTATTTTGTAAGCATTAGCAATCCTATCACTTCACTTTCTTGTCAGGCCTCAGAGGTACCTGGCCATGTTAGGTGTCATCGTATCATCTCAGGCCACCATAAGTGTTTTTATCACTCAGAGGGGTCAGCAATTTCACTGAAGCTGAGTCATTTGTCATAAGTGACTCCATTTTGAGACATTCAGGATTACAAAACATTATTATATATCATACTGATTTTACAACTCACATTACTAGATTCTTAATTTGCCTCAAAAACAGACTTCTAAAAGGCATTGATTTTGTTTTCCATACGTAGTCGTTTTTGATGATCCCCAGCCAAAGAGGGTGTGTCCCTATTTACATTGTTGATTATTACACTGATTTTTTTTTTTTTTGCCTGCTTCCTACTGGAAGGGAATAATCCCTAATTCCTACATCCAGTTGCTGGGTCCGGGGAAAAGCTACCTATACAATAGTCTCTTTAAAAGTTGGGTAACCCCGTGAAACCCCGTCTCTACTAAAAATACAAAAAATTAGCCCGGTGCAGTGGCAGGCGCCTGTAGTCCCAGCTACTAGGGAGGCTGAGGCAAGAGAATGGCGTGAAGCCGGGAGGCGGAGCTTGCAGTGAGCCGAGATAGCACCACTGCAGTCCGCCCTGGGGGAAAGAGCGAGACTCCGTCTCAAAACAAAAACAAAAACAAAAGTTCTGTAACCCACTGTGTTATAATAGAAAGTGAATTAAGAAGTCAACATCTTAGGTTCATTTATTTTTTTCTACATGTATTATTCGTACCTACTATGTACTAGGCATTGTTGTAAGATCCTGTCCTTATGGAGCTTACCTTTTAGAAGAGATTACGTTCTAAGGTGTGTTAGTTAAACAAATTATCTCCTGAAAATCCCAATGAAGGATTTTTATCAGAATTCACCTTCCTGTAAAACATAAAGTAAATTATGTCCCAGTTCCTCCAGTTGTCTTGAGTTTAACTCCTCTACTTTGATATTTTCTTACATATTTTCTCAATAGTAAAACTTGAGGTACAAAATTTTAAAAAGTAGAAGGTATATGTTTATTTTGTACAGCAACACATAGACTATTTCACCAATTTTGGTTAAAATTTCCTATGAATGCTGTGGACCATAAGAAGATTGAACAATGAAGATTGAATTTATTGACTCACTATTTTTTGATCAGGAGATCAAAATTGTTTGATACCTACTATGTGTTAGAATTGATACTGAATAAAAACAATTAAATATTATTTTAGTAGAATAAGCCAAATTTCTGGATAAACGGGAAGCCTACTGAAATAGCTTCTTCCTTCCTCTCATCTTTACTGAGGTATAATTGACAAACAGACGTTATATACGTTTAAGTTGTACAACTTGATGTATTGATATATACCTTGTGTATCACCAGAAACTAACATATTCATCACCTCATACGGTTACCATCGTTTGTGTGTGTAGAGAACATAAAATCCACCTGCTGAGTGGATTTCAGGTATACAATACGGTATTGTTAACTACAGTCACGTTGCTGTACTTTAGATTTCCAGATCTTGCAAAACTGAAACTTTGTACACCTTGACCACCGTCTCCTCATTCATCCTCCCCCAGCCCCTGACAACCACCGTTCTGCTCTGCTTCTACGAACTGAATAGCTCCTCTTGATTTCTTTTTCTTTCTCTTTTTTTTCTCTCTTTCTTTTTCTTTCTCTTTCTCTGTCCCTCTCTCTCTTTCTTTTTCATATTTAAGTGCTGAAATTACGAGATTGGTAGATTTAAGATTTCTTTTGAGCGTGGGACAAAACACAGACACTTGAATAGATGGAAAGCAGAACTCTATTACTTGCAGCTTTCAACAAAGTTGCAGGGCTAGACAGAGGTTGCACCTATGAACAGTGTAACAGCAAGCTTATCTGTGGTAAGCAGGGTGGGGTTAGCTAGGTTTCTCAGACTTACTGTGGATTGGCTAATTTGAATAATTTTGACAGGATCTGGAGCCTAGGAGCTGTTCCTTTTAGTGTGGAACCTAGGCCTGGGGCAATGAGGGCTGGTGTAGAGGAGCCCAGAATGTAAGGGTCTGATGAAGAAGGGGTTGGAGTGTGAACTTCATCAGCTGCCCAAGAAGGGGAACAGATTGGCCTCCAGTCAAGGCCTCAAAATGGGGTCAAAACAGCATTTTTAAACAGCTGTGTTAGACGATTGTATCTAATGTGTTTAATCTATCTCTGTAACATATAGTTTTCTTACATCCAAGATCTAGCAGGGGTAAATGTATTACTTGTTTCAAGCTCAGGAAACAATACCAGTTAACCATGTATGTGAGATCATAATTATCGAAGTGTGAAATTAATAGTAGAAGGATACATTGACGGTGATATTTATACCAAAAATTTTAAATATACTGCAGTAGGCCTATCTATATGTATCTATATCTATAAAATAGAGACAATACCTACTCAAAGTAATTATGTATTAAATAAGATACAGTCTTATTTATATATAAAATATAGCCTTGTATACAGTTCTTTCTATCACCTTTCACAATAAACAGATGGATCAGCTGTGGGGAATTACAAAGTTTGTGATCACTTACACCAAAATACATAAGAAAATCATAAAAGCCTGGGAAATTAAGGAATTAAACAGCAGTGTTCCCAAGCACAGTGAACTTAGCAAGTCTCATATTTTGACTAATAATGCCTTCTGTCGTCAAGTTTCAGAATAGTCTCCACGTTTTGCCCTCTTTTTTTACTTTTGTCAAAGGGAAAAAACTCTTTAACCACCCTGTAACACACATGCACACACACACAAACACACACACACACACACGCACACGCACACACAGTCTTTCAATAAACCTTTCAAAGTCCAACTCAAGTTGTGCTCTTACCATGAATTTCTTTACCACCTTCTCAATCAACTTACTCTAAATAACTTATCATATTCTTCGTATTTATTGTTCTCCTGAAGCTCCTGTAATTATCTTCCAGTTTAAACGTTCTTATAGTCCAAGGTGGAATACAAGTGTTACATTACTGTTGATAAAAAATATATAACCATGAAGCAATACAACATCTTCTTTCTGACCAGTGAATTAAGAAGATTAGAACTACATTCCAGGTAGTTTGAAAAAGTGGATAGATATCTAGACTCAGAATCAGAATTTATTTCTTGGTGTCTGCTTTTTCAATTTCTTTATTTCTGGTCTCTGTTTTGCAGTTTATTAGTTCTGAAACATAGGGAAAGCACTGAAAAAATAATCCAAGCATATGGGTTCTAATCTTTGGATTCTTTCCAAATAACTGTAATTTGAATATATATTTTCTATGAGGCATAATTTATTCTATTTAAAATTGGTGTAATTCCAAACTTCCCATTTCACACAAGAGTTATGAAGATAAATTAATCCTTGAATTCAAAAACTATTTCCTGAGTCCCTAATGTAGATTTGTTACTCGACTAAGCCTTCAGGATAGAACGAGTACAGTGTTTTACCAATCAGAAGATGCATCTTTTTCACTTTTTAACGTCACTAAAATAAAATATCATACCATCGGTGATGTCCAGTGATTACCATGAACTATATTTTCATAGCATAAAATCTTTGAAATTGTGATGCATCCTTAGTGAAATATATTTATACTTCTTCAAGTTTAGTTGAGGAAACAAAGTTCATAGAACTAAACAGAAAACGTCTATGCAGTATCGTTAGAGAAATACTATGAGATCACAGAAAAGGAGGCACACAAATTAGTTTAGATGGTCTTAAGGACTGAATTATGCCTCCCGACTTCAAATCATATGTTGACATCTTAACCCCAAGTACCTCAGAATGTGACTGAGTTTGGAGATAGAGCCTTTAAAGTGATGATTAAGATGAGGTCATTAGGATGGGCCCTAATCCAGTCTGACTGGTATCTTATAAGAGAGGGAAGTTTGGATACTCAGACACAGTGAGGAGGTGGCCACCCACAAGCTAAGCAGAGAGGTTTCAGAAGAAACCAAACCTGTCAACATCTTGATCTTAAATTTCTAGTCTCCAGAACGATGAGAAAATAAACTTTTATTGTTTAAGCCACCCAGTCTGTGGTATTTGGCTATAGTAGCTCTAGGAAATTGAAATAGGTGGTCCAAGAGAGCTTTTAGACAAATTGATGTCCAGTTCATTTCAGGATAAGTTGGAATTTACCAGCTGAAGAAATAATAGAAGGAAAGTGCTGAAAGCAGAAAAAATAACCCAGAAAAGGCAGGCTATAAAAATGATACATTCATAAGACAGTAACGTGTGTGTGTGTGTGTGTGTGTGTGTATGTGTGTGTAGAACCTGGAGTGTAGAAAGTGAGCTTACTAAAGGAAGAAATGTTGAGTGAGAAATGAAGCTGAAGAGGTATTCAAATGCCACAGGACCTGGGGCTTGAAATTCAGGCAAAGGAACTCGTACTCTATCCCATAGGCAGTAGAGGGGGTTTTAGGCATGTAGAAGGAATGTAAATAATAAGGTGGCTTTTTAAAAAATGTATGTCAAAAGTTTTTTTCTATTGTCATGAAGCAAAATATTAGAATCACCTCTAGCTTACGCTTGTTATACTTATGAGAATAAATTGTATGTGTATGTGTATGTATTTGTGGATAAGGGACCAGATACCTTACAAGGCCCAGATGTAATAAATATAGACGATAGATTAAGAGTTCAAACATCTGAGTCTTCTGGGGCCTAGTACCCTTCTGTCTTTTATTTTGACCACCTTGTTCTGTGTTGCTCACTTTGATTTAGACTTTGCTGTCTTTATAGCTGTTCTCCAAACATTCCTCTTACTGCACTTACCACATAGAGCATAATTGTTATTCCCTTATGAACTTTAAAAGTTTATTTATAATAATATAAATTTGGAAACTAAAATAACCTAAAGCTCAAGTTGCCCGTCTTAAAATATGGGTAGTTCCTTTATCAAGATGGTTCATATGAGGAAGTGGTGAAAATGATAGGGTTGACACTCAATTATTAAATATATAAAATCTAGCTTTTACTTTAAAGAAGTACATAGTAGGGAAAGTGTGAAATTTAACTTCAAGACAGATTGTATTTTTTCGGAATCTTTTACACCTCCGATTTGCCTTTACGTTATCTGAAACAAAGATCAGGCTTAAAAAACATAAATATTAAAATATTCATCCATTTTGAAGGAATAAGTAAATAAAACACATCTCTCTGAAAAATTCTGGGATTCCATTTGACCTGAACATGTATCTTATTACTAGAGAAGATGGAAAGGTGGAGGGGCTTGGAGATGGGAGAAAAAACTAAAGTGCTATGAATGATTATACAACAGTGCCCCCTGATGGGAAGAATGGGGTCTGAAATTCAGATGAGATTTCTTACCAAGTCAATTACATGACTTATTCTTCGTTTTTGCTTCCATTTAAAGAGATTTTTGTAGCGATGCATCAGTTTTACTATAGAATCTGACATACAGTATGCACTGAAAATATATGAGTAAATCGAACTGAAGCATTAAGTCTAGGCAAGGAGCTTTTAAAAACTTTAGCTGGCACAAGGGACTAGGTGTGTTAAATATGACCATAACCTTGAGTTGTCTGTAGGGTAAAATACATTGATCTTTATATGTTAAGCTTTTGGCAAGTGCTATTTCCCCTACTAATTTACCCACACTTGGTGATAAATCTATCTTCGATCTCAAAACATTATCAAATACTATAATATTATTTCAAAATTTTAACAGTATAATTAGTTCAGATTTAAATAATCTTGAGGAAGAATGATTTCAATTTTAAAGCAAAAGTGTTTTTCAAATAACCAAAAGAAAATAGTTTTGCTTTATTTTTTGTTATTAACTAGGCATATTAATGTGGTCAATAAGAACTGTAGCTTTTCCTTCTCTAAAGGGGTGTAGGAATGGAAAGCAATGAGTACTGAAAAGGTAAGAAAAATTTGTACAATCTAGGGTTTGAATTCAAACCCCAGAGTAGTTGCATGGAACAAATTTACTCATCTTAATAATTGTCATGGGTGCATGGTAAATAAAAGGAGAACTTGTTTGTTAAGAATGAGGCATTATCATAGTATTGGTAATGCATTCTATAAATAAGATTTATGTTTTGAGAAACTCAAGTAAGAAAGCAGGAATGGAATTATCCGTTTTTGAAGTGAAAGAGAAGAAATGTGGAGAGACTGTGTGTGTTAGGTCTGCATCTGGCTCCTAGGGAGATTTGAATGAATTAGAAGGAGGCTTCCTTTCCTCTTGATGTTTGTAGTCCTGACTTGGTAAGTAGACACAGGCTGGATTGCAGGCCCTAGCCACACCCTCAGCAGGCATCAGGTATAATTATCAACCTGCACCATCAGAGGTTGCAGCAACTCATTCAGTGATACATATTTGCTGGATATGCATGAAACACTCTAGTGAATTTGAACATTTTTAACTGAAGAAATATGGATATCTAGCATTCATTATAGATAATCTCCCTTGACACCCTTCTAAAAAATTCATGAACCCGTAGGAAGTAGCATCTCACTGCCTTACTGAACATGGTAAGTATGCTGTTAAATCTAACTATCTGCTTATGTTTTCTGCTCAGCTTAAATGCTCTTTATTTTATATTACTACTATTTATTTTTGCCAATTCAAACTTTACCTATTTTATTGTTTGCATCTTGAATCCCACATTTTCTAGAAACACTTTAGCTCAGAATATTATCTTTGTCTTTGGAATTCTGATTTCAAAGTAATGTGTTGTCTGGAACATTTATGTTTTCTTACTATCTAAGTCTGAATCAGCAAGGCAGGTATTCAGTGAGATAAAAGAATAATAATATCATATAACATTGTTTAAATTATTGGGATTCTAATTAGAACGACTAACAGTTTGCACCAATCAAAACTTACATAAACCATTAATTTCAATATTTTGGAATTTAACATTGAATGGTAATGTTTCTTTAAGTAGCTACGGAACTATATTTGTCCAATTCAGTTGCACCTTTTTATTCTTTTTGTATTTCCAAATTCTGAGATTCAGTATGTTACTAACACCTCCTGTCTCATAATCTATTTAGTGTGCCTTAAGGTAAGATAGGCTGCTTAAGGATGCTTTGAATTTACAGGAAAGGGATATCTCTGTGGTACCAGAATTTATTTGAGAAAAAACAACTTCAAATGTAGTTTTCAAACTGTGCAGACTGTCACCTTACTGACATCAGTAAGCAAATGTTCTTAAACTTGTATCAAGTATCTGAATAGTCACTTACTTAACTGTTCAATGAAGTTAACCACTAGGAGACAAGTTTGCCCTAAGCTTAACCCAGACAGGAGATTTCACCTTCTAGAGTTAATTTACAGCTTAAGAACAAGCCCTTCAAAATCTTTCTACTAATTGTTTTACTCAATTTAGAAAGTTCATTTAAATGAGAATTCTTTTTTATCTACCTTAAGGCAGGTTAAGTATTTTTTTCCATTACATTTACATATCATGTCTTGCCGCTATGTTTGGTGTTATACATTATTATATAGACATGTGAACAGTTTTGCATAAATATGCCCAGTAAGGTTGTAAGTACTAATTTCCCCCTGATTTCCTCCATTAAGGGTGCAACATTTTACTAACAAGAAGAAAAGTATCTTAATTTCATGATTCACAAGTGAGGAAAATCAGATTTTTCAACACTGAAAATTAGAATCTATAAAAGAGAAATAGGGGAAATGTAACTACTAAATGTTATGTGCAAGCAACAACATAAAGATTAGTCCATGTAATTATAACACAACCAATGGAATTCAGCAAGTACTTTACTACTTAAAGTAGGAGGAAGTGTAAAGACGGATGGACAGTCCAAGTCCCAGCTCAGTCTCTTGTGAATGTGGATAAGTCAGTTTAAATTCTAAGTTCACTGATTCTGTGTTCTCTCCTGCAAAAAGTCAGAATGGCAATGCTTATCATGTAGAAAGATTGGCATTTAAACAATTGTTTTGTAAATTCTAGAGTATATTCTAAATATGAGTTACATCAGATTGTACTTAACACGTAAGATTTTCTAATAAGACTGGAATGGAAAGAAGGAAACCTTGGTTCAGTAACCAATCATTTGTGCTCCTTTGTCAAATCATTTAATATTTTTGAATGACAGCTTTAAGTGGGATTGTGTGAGCTTTAAATAGAGTTGTGGTAAGAAGGAGGAAAAAACAATCTCTTGGGCTTTTTCTAGCTCTAAAACACTTTAATTCTGTCATTTATAGCTTTGTTTTTAAAAGCAAGTCAGATGGTTTAATATTTATAGATTCATACACTATATTCAAGAAAGTATTAGAGACTTGTGCAAGATTCCATGACAAGTCAGCAGCTGTGTTGAGATAAGAAATTTACGCTGGATCCTAAAATCTGTCATCCTGCCTAGCGTTCCTTCTACTGAAACTCTCTGCCTTGATAGTAATACTTCTAGTTACTATAATCTAATTGAATCTCTTCATGTAGATCATTCTAGAAAATATTGATATGTTGGGCATACTTCCAGTCAATGTTTTAGAGCCTGTGCTAATGCATCAGAATAATTAGAAACACAAGGCAAAGCTTCTGCCTTCAGAAAGCTCACAGTCTCACAGAGGACTTTACCTACTGACATGTTTATCTTAGCTTGTGTGGCTAAACTCAGCAACATGCAACATGCTTTGAATAGTTAAAATTGGACAGCTACTCTCAACATTAGCCATGAAGCACTTCAAATGAAGGGATAAGAAAAATTCATTGCTTTGCTCATTTAACAGTATGATAAGGAAGGAGGAGGAGAGAGATATATCATGTTGAAAGAACAATGAAGAATCTCAATTATATCAGGAATTTGTACATTAGATGTGTCGTTTTAAAATCCTATGCCTGATTATGCATACACAAATAACAAGTATAAATCATCCTCTTCATACACATTTTTTGTTTAATCTTTAATACAAACCCATGGGAAAGATTTATCCTACTATCACAAATGATGAATCTAATGTTCAGATATTAGGAAGCATAATTTTGCTATTTGTCTTCCTCATTAAATTGTGAATTCCTGGGAGGAAGTGTGTAATAGTAGAACCAACTTACTTATGCTGAATTCACTGTCCCATAAAAACTGTGTGTCGCCTGAACAAGTTATTAACCCTCCTGAATCTCAGTTTCTTTACCTATAAATTGCAATTACATGAAGTACATATAAAGTCGTTAAGGGCCTGATATGTATTAGCTAAGTAATGAGTGTTTCTTACACCATCATACATAGCAGAGTCCATGAATAGACTCTCTGTAACTGTGGAGGAGGGATGTCATCCAGTCATACTTTACAGGGAGACTTCTAATACAGGTGGCCTCTTAGTACGTGTAAAAAGTCAAACCTATTTAGAAGCCCATTGTAAAATCATAAATGTAAATAACTCCCTAATGATAAAGGCAAGTCATTTCAATAGCTCAGTGAAATCTTAAGAGATTCTTGACTAAATATAGATAAGTATTAAGGTCGTCCACTTCCACAGATTTTCTCTAATAATTTAATTCTTCTCATCTTATTACTTAAACCCATATAACATAGTTATTCAGAAGCAGTAAATGTTGAATAGAACTTAAACTAAAGCACAAAAATGAGAAATGTTTTTTACCCTGACTTTTGTACCCCCATCAAAACCAGTATGCAATGTGAAAAATTTCAACCCTTAAAAAGAAAAATTTACATGTTGCCATATTGGAAATGGGGGAGGGGGAAGACATATACTTCCAAAGAAGGACCTCTGAGTTGATTAAGGCCATATCACCAGAATAGTGCTTCCAGACCAGAGCATTCAGGTTCATTTAATTTCTCTTTGTAAACAAAGCAACCAATTTTCAGTTCTATTGCAAATATCTAACTGTCCTCTTTTTCACAGAGGAGAGACAAGTATTAACTGCTCTTCAAAAGAAAGTTACTCTGATTTACAGAGATTGTAAACCTCTGGCCCCCACAAACAAACAAACAAACAAACAGAAAGAAAACACAGAGCAACAAGTCTCTTAAGGACGTAAGACACCTAGGAGATAGTGTTCCCACTAAACAATGTTGGGACTGGGCCCTGTGGCTCATGCCTGTAATCTCAGCACTTTGGAGGGTGAGGCAACTGGATCACTTGAGCCCAGGAGTTAGCGACCGATTGGGCAACATAGCAAAACCCCGTCTCTACAAAAAGTTAAAAAAAAAAAAAAAAAAAAAAAAAAAAAAGCTGGGTGTAGTGGTAGCTGCCTGCAGTTCCAGCTACTCAGGGGACTGTGATGGGAGGATTGGTTGAGCCCAGGAGGTCTAGACTGCAGTGAGCAGTGATTGTGCCACTGCACTACAGCCTGGGCAACAGGGTAAGACCCTGTCTCAGAAAAAAAAAAAAAAAAAAGTTGGAGGTGCTTATAACAGCTATAATTGTGATGTGGAGATGCTAACCCTGTACTCAGAAAGACTGCGACTCTTTAAGCACAGAAGAAGTAAAGCACATACTATGTAGGGAAAGAGAAGAATAGTTGGCTTATCTGCCAATGCCATAGCTGCATATTAAGACCTAAATTCCAAAACTGTAAGGCAGGCGTTATTTTTAGCGTTCTATTCCTTCATTTCCCCTACTATTCGATATCACAATTACAAAGATCAGTCCTTCCAAGTAGTTGATTGATTGTCATCATTGATCTTGTACACAGAAGGTGGGAAAAAAGCACACGTAAGTCTTGCTTGGCATTTCAGCAAATTTCCTCCATTAAGCGTTTTTATTGGCAGACCTAAAATATATGTTCTTGGTTTGGAAACGATTCCCTGATGGGCATGGATTGCTGCTTTTACCTCCCTGCTCACCCTTATAAATTTCTGAATTAGAACAATGGTAAAACAGAATTGAAGAAAAGAAGGTACAACTTTTTAAATGCTGGAAGAAAAAAATAAAGCTTCACTAAGGTCAATGTAAACTGACTCTACACTTCTGTAACCCTCCCAGAAATATCAGTAAACATTTTTATCCCAAATTTATTTTGTCTTCTTTTCCAAAGGCTCGGTGTTCATTTATCTACAGATACTCTTACTAGGGTATATTGGTTTTATAAGTTAAAACTGGGGCTAAGGATGGAAAATAGTAGTACTACCATGCTCAGCTAATGAGTTTTTTGCTCTGCCAGCTTATATGGCAGCCTTGTAAATAGCTTTCATTTTATGTAAGCTTCTTTTGATAGCACCTTTCTCTGTTAAAAGGATTTTATTTAGGCTTAGATGCAAAAAATGATGATTGATACTTTATTTTTACTACTGTGGATCCCAAAGGGGCCAGCAACATAAATTTCAAATATTTGCTTTTCTTATTCCTGCCAACCTTAGTTAAGCCTTGTATATGACCTGAAGACATTTTTTTTTTTCAATTCAATAGTTAATTCATTGAAAATTTTTATTGCTTTGTTAGGCACATGTGACACAAACATTTAAAAAGATGGGCACTGATTCTAAGGCACTTATAAATAGTAAGGAAGACAGTCAAATAAACAAATACAATATAGTGTGATGATTGAAAGAATAGGGCTATACTCAGGTTGTAGAACTAGCCAAGAAGACCAGTGATGAAATTGGACTTCCATTGGTGGAGGTGACAAATATGTTCAGGGAAGTATTACCAAAAAAGTAACACTAAAAGGATTTTGAAAGGTTAAGAAGTCTTGGCTCTTTTAAGATCAGATGTGACCACTACCACATCAAGGTTGCCTGCAAGTATTTTAGTTTCTATTTAAAAGAACAACTGTGCATTTGGGGTCATACTAAAAAAATCCTTGCCCAAACCAATGGCAAGAATATTTTTTTCCCTACATTTTCTTCTAGTGCTTTTACAATTTCAGGACTTCCATTTGTCTTTAGCAAATTTTGATTTGATTTTTGTATATAGTGTGAGACACAGTTCTGATTTCATTTTTCTGCTTGTGGATATCTAGTTTTCCCAACAAAAATTGAAGAGACTCTGTTTCTCAGTGTGTGTTCTTGGCAATTTATCAAATTTCAACTGACAGTAAATGCTTAGATTTATTTCCAGACTCTCTATTGTGATCCACTAGTCTACATGAAGGGTCCTCCACCCCCAGTCACAGACCACTACTGGTCCATGGACTGTTAGGAACTGGGCAGCACAGCAGGAGGTGAGCAGCAGACAAGCAAGCATTACTGCCTGATCTCCACCTCCTGCCAGATGTGTGGCTGCATGCATTAGATTCTCACAGGAGCAGAGCCCTATTGTGAACTGAGCATGTGAGGGATCTAGGTTGTGCACTCCTTATGAGAATCTAATGCCTGATGGTCTAGGGTGGAATAGTTTCATCCTGAAACCATCTCCACTGCCCTACGCCCTCTTCTTGCTGTCTGTGGAAAAATTGTCTTCGACGAAACCAGCCCTGTGTGGCTGGGGACTGCTGGTCTACATGACTGTTTCTGTGTCGGTACCATGATGTTTTGTTAATTATAGTGTCATAGTAATCTTGAAATCAAGTAGTGTGATGGCTTAGCTTTGTTCTTTTACTTAAGATTACTTTGGCTATTCAGGTTCTTTTGTGGTTCTATATAAATTTTAAGATTATTTTTCTATAGCTGTGGAAAATAGCATTGGAATTTTGATAGGGATTGCATTGAATCTGTAGATAGTTTTGGATAGTACAGACATTGCAACAATATTCATTCTTCAATCCATAAATATGAGATATCCTTTCATTTATTTGTGCCTTTTTCAATTTCTTTCATCAATGTATTGTAGTTTCAGTGTACAGATATTTTGCCCCCTTAGTTAAATTTATTCCTGTGATTCTTTTGATGATGTGATTATAAAAAATATTGCCTTCTTTATTTCATTTTCTATAACTTGTTGTTAGTGTATAGAAGTACTACTGATTTTTGTATGTTGATTTTGTATCCTGCAACTTTACTAATTTTTAATCAGTTATAACAGTTTTTGGTGGAGTCTTTGCAGTTTTCTAAAAATAAGATAAAGTAATCTGTAAACAGATACAATTTTACTTCTTTTCCAATTCGAATATATTTATTTCTTTTCCTTGCCTAGCCTGGCTGAGATTTCCCATACTATATTGAATAGAAGTCAGCATCCTTTTTTTTTTTTTTTTTTTTTTTGAGACAGAGTCTTGCTCTGTAGCCCAGGCTGGAGTGCAGTGGCACGATCCCTGCTCACTGCAAGCTCTGCCTCCCGGGTTTACCCCATTCTCCTGACTCAGCCTCCCTCTCGAGTAGGTGGGACTACAGGCGCCTGCTACCATGCCTGGCTAACTTTTTTTTGTATTTTTTAGTAGAGACGAGGTTTCACTGTGTTAGCCAGGATGGTTCGATCTCCTGACCTTGTGATCCACCCGCCTCGGCCTCCCAAAGTGCTGGGATTACAGGCATGAGCCACGGCACCCGGCCGGCCAGCATTCTTGTCTTGTTCCTGATCATAGATGAAAATAGTTTTTCATCATTGAGTGTGATATTAGATTTGGGCTGGTCATATATGGCTTTATTATGTTAAGGTGCATTTCTTCTCTATATCTAATTGTTTGAGAGTTGTTAATCATAAAAGAATGTTGAATTTTGTCAAATGCTTTTTATCTATTGATACTATCACATGATTTTTATTCTTCATTTTATTAATGTGGTGTATCACATTTATTGATTTGTGTTTGTTGAGTCATCCTTGCATCCCAGGTCTAAATCCCATCCAATCATAGTGAATTATCCTTTTAATGTGCTGCTGAATTGAGTTTGCTAGTTTTTTTGTTGAGGATTTTTGCATCTGAATTTTTCAGGGATATATTGCCCTATGCTTCTCTTGTATTCTTATCTGGCTTTGGTATGAGGGTAATGTTAGTCTTGTACAATGAGTTTGTAAGCATTCCCTCCTCTTTAATTTTAGGGAGAGTTTGAGAAATATTGGGATTAATTATTCATTAATTCAAATGTTGGGTTGAATTCAACTCGAAGCCATCAAATCCTGGGCTTATCTTTGTTGGGAAGTTTAAGACTACTGATTCAATCTTTGTATTAGTCAGTCTCCAGCAGAACAATCCATAGAGAGAGAGAGAGTGAGAGAGACAGCGTGTTAAAAAGGGGATTTATAATAAGAATTAACTCATGGAATTCTGGAGTCCAGAAAGTTCTACAATATGCTCTGTGCAAGCTGGAGAACTAGAAAAGCCAATGTATAATTAAATGAGAGTCCAAAGGCCTGAGAACCAGGGGACCCAATACTGTACCTTTTAGCCCAGTTCAAAAGGCCTGAGAACTTGAGTGGGGTGGAGTGCTCACTTTGGAGTCCCAGAGTCTGAAGGTCTGAGAACCTGGAACAATTATATTCGAGGACAGAAAAAGATGAATGTCCTAGCTCCAGAAGAAAGACTGAGTTTGCCCTTTCTCTACTTTTTTGTTCTATCCAGGTCCTCAATGGCCTGCATGATGCCCATTTACACTGGTAAAGGCAAATCTTCTTTACTCACTCTACTGATTCAAATGGTAATCTCTTCTGGAAACTTCCTTACAGACATGCCTAGAGATAATATTTTACCAGCCATCTGAGTATCTCTTAGGCCAGTCAAGTTGACACATTAAATTTACCATCACAGTCTCCTTACTCATTATTGGTTTCTTCAGATTTTCCATTTCTTCATAATTCAGTCTTTCCAGAGGTGGAATTCACCTTGCTTATCATTAGCATGTGTATTCAGTCAACATTCAGGCATGATGGTGATGTCAGAAAACTACAGATTATCCACATGGGTGGCTGAGATAGTGATACTTTGGCTTACTGATGGTTCAGTGTATACAAACTTTGTTTCAAACTTTGCATTCCAAAATCTAAAATAAAAAATACTCTGGTCCCAAGCATTTTGGGAACAGGGATTCTCAACCTATATTCAGAGAGAGGGGGATTAAAAAAAAGAAAAAAGAATGGGGAAAAAAGATGTAAAAAACACAGTAAGAAACATTTCATCTCTCTGATTCTCAATCTTCTAACCTTTAATATGATAGTACCTACTTCAAAGGATCCTTGTAAAGATTAAGTTAGTTACTATATGAAAAACCCTTAGAACAATGCTTGGCACATTATATAGTCTCAGTAAATATTATCTGGCATTGAAATATTTTAAAATCAAATATTAGATATTCTTTTTAAATACTTTAAATTAAAAAGAGCACCTGACACCTCAGTGGCCCAGTCTTAGGATTTCAGATAAATTTCCCCTGGAATACTTTCAGTTTGAGTCTAGTTGTTTTCAAAATCCAGTAAAAGACTTTAATGAATGTAAAATGCTATCTGAATCTGGACATTACTGTTTTAATTCCAATAGAATTTTCTCATGTGGGTTAAAAGGACAATCAGCTTATATTTCCTACTATATTTTCATCTAGCACAACTCTTAAAGCAAGTCTATTTTAGTTATATATTATTTTATCATGGTTCCTGGAAGGTAAGATTGGTGGCCACCACATTCAGTCTCCTTCACAGCTAAGTGTAGCCACATAACTATGCTTTGGCCACGGGGATATGAATGCTACTACTAATTTTTTCCCTTGAAACAATGGGATGTTGACTTTCTTGCTCCCTTCCTCCTTACTGCTTATTGGGAGATGGCAGAAACTGTCCCATCTACCATTCATGTATAAGTTAAAACCAAAAGTGAACTACAGCATAGCCACTTAGCCTAAAAATGTTGGCTCGTCTGTGGATTGATATATGAGAGAAAAATAAACTCTGATTCTTGTGTCTGTTATAATAGCTAGCCTGTATGTGAATAAATACCTTCTTTTTAAATTTTTGAGGAATTAAATCTCCATATTATGTGTAAATCTACATTAAATTAATATACCTTGAGATGTTTTTCTCTCTATATTTCATGTCTTTTCATCACAAAAGATTTGAAGCTTTTAACATAAGATTTAATATCTATCTTACCTCTAAATAAGAAATGTTTCTTTGACAGTTTGGAAAGAGAATTTCAGTGATTATAGTCTTATACCTCAACTACTAATTCATTTTACTTGTAGAGCACCAAACTATAAGCATCCATTATAGCAATATTGTAACTACATCAGATTGATATATCTCTAACAAGTTTTATGAATTCCAGGAATAATGTGTTTAAAGTTTAAGAAATTTGAATATGTTCCTTTCTATCTGAGAGCTAAGATAGAAGAGTGGTAGCTAAAAAAAAAAGCTACCACTCTTACCTCCTCTGTAAGGGGAAAAAAAAAAGATAATAAATTTTGTTTTCCCAGGAAGACAGAGTAAATGTTGCCAGAATCTAACTAAATATACTGTGGAGCTCTTCCTTAAGAGACAGAAGAATTAGAAATACCACATGCAATAAGTGAAATTAAGTTTGAGCATTTATACTTATCACACGAACAATATCTTTCTAAACATAATCTTTGAGAATATTCCCTCTTAAAGCATCAGAGATAAGGTGCAATTTATATTGATACTTTTCCATCTCATTAGAATCTTTTGTGAGCAATCTATAGCCTGGAGCATCTGTTTCTGCTTCTAGTGGTGTGGTTAGAAAGCAGATTTAACTATTTTGGCTTTGGAGTTTGCTTTAAAGCTAATATAGGCAAAAGTCACGTGGTCTTTCAATTAATTAACCAACTGAAGTGTTAACCTCATCTCCTTCAGTGTGAAGGAAGTGAGATGTTCATCCCTCACGATTATAACTTAAGGGTGCAGTGGCTCACGCCTATGATCCCAGCACTTTGGGAGGCTGAGGCAGGTCGATTGTCTAAGGTCAGGAGTTCGAGAACAGCCTGACCAACATAGTGAAATCTCGTCTCTACTAAAAATTCAAAAACTTCCTGGGTGTGGCGGTGGGTGCCTGCAATCCTAGCTACTCAGGAGGCTAAGGCAAGAGAATTGCTTGAACTTGTGAGGCGAAGGTTGCAGTGAGCTAAGACTGTGCCATTGCACTCCAGCCTGGGCAACAGGAGTGAAACTCCATCTCAAAAAATAAATTAATTAATTCAAAAATAAAAAATAAGGCTTACATGGGACAAGATTACAGTTTGACTGAACAACTTAGTTCCCAGTCCCCAAAAGAGAGAGAAGTATTTAAATGGGAAATACAGAAAGTACCAAATTTAAAATTATATTATTTGACAATTTATTCAATAATTTATATTTTCACCCAAAGGAGAATTTACCCACCTCTCTCTATATAAATTCAATGATAAAACATTCCGTGCATAGTACAGTTTAAAGTCCCAGCACTCCTAATTTTTCACAGTAATATGTCAGATTATTATCATCTGGACATGTTATTTGCTCTGTAATAATATAGGCTGCCTTTTAATTACTGGTGTAAATATTTTTGAATTTTTTCTATAAGCCAAGTTCAGTTGTCATAGGCTATAGTTTGAATGTTCACGTTGCCTTCAAACTTCATGTTGAAACATAATCCCCAAGGAAACAGCATTCAAATGTGGGGTCTTTACAAGCTGATTAGGTCAGGAAGACTCCTCCCTTATGAATGGGATTATAAAAGAGGCTTCACATAGCATTTGGCTTTTTGCCCTGCTGTCCCTGCTGCCATGTGAGGACACAACATTCATCCTCTCCTTAGGATGTAGTCTTCAAAGTGCCATCTTGTAAGCAGAGAGAACTATCCCTCACCAGACACCAAATCCACTGGTACCTTGATTTTGGACTTCCAGCCTTCAGAACTGTAAGAAAAAAAAAAATCTGATCTTTGTAAATTACTCAGACTAAGTTATTTCATTATAGCAGCACAGAATTAGAAACCGTATGTAATTGCTCCCTCTCTGCCTACAGGAATACATTAAAATTTTCTGTTTTGTGTATTTAAAGGTGATCCAATGACAGCCTTTATTGAGGAAGCGCTTTGTTTTTCAGAAAGTTGGAAGAGGCGAATTCATTTAAAATATCTTACCCATTTCTCTATGATGTACCTAGGACATTGCTGAACTTTTCTCTTGCTATCCTCTAGAGGAGATTTAAATTGCTAGCTAAAATGTCATTAGCAAACTACTCTGGTGATTGGGATGAATAACTGAATAAATGAAAAGATAAATTGGTCAGTAGATTAACAGACAATCCAGTGTGACTTAAAAAATGCCATCAAACATTCTTGGAATGTTAGGTAATTATTTAAAGAGGAAAATAAGTGATAAAATAAGAAACCATAAATGAAGTAAATGTTATAATTTGTGTTTTGTATATAGGTTCTTGACTTACTAACTATATTCACTGTTTTCCATTCATGTTATTACTAAAAACGATGTTTTAAGGTTTGAGTTTATTATTTATAGTTTTCTACATAAATAAAGGGCTTCATTAAAATTCTGATTTCATAATTAACCTCTACAAACACAGGCCCCATGGTATTATAAAACAATTGCCACTTTAGAATTTTTGAAAAGCATTATCCGGTAGAAAAAAGTAACTGCTTTATTTGAGTTAAATTAAGGCTCTTAAAATCAAATCTTAGCTATGCCGTAGCCACACAGTTTCAGTAAGAGTGCAGCATGAGGTCACAGGAAGAATAGAATATACAAGTGATTATCCAAGAAATGAAGAGAGTCTGTAGTTGTCTGTCCTGGGGAAAGTCACCTTTACATTCATTTGCTTTTTGACTATAACCTATAGGAAGGCACAAACTATAAAAAATAAGTCTTGTTTATCGTAGGGACTCAACAATATGTAACAATTGAAGAATGTGTGGGTCTGAGATCCTTTAAGGATTTATAACATTTTAAGCCATATTTGCTTTTTTTTTTTTTTTTTTTTTGAGATGGAGTCTCGCTTTGTCGCCCAGGCTGGAGTACGGTGGCGAGATCTCGACTCACTGCAAGCGCTGCCTTCCGTGTTCATGCCATTCTCCTGCCTCAGCCTCCCGAGTAGCTGGGACTACAGGTGCCCGCCACCATGCCCGGCTAATTTTTTGTATTTTTAGTAGAGATGGGGTTTCACCGTGTTAGCCAGGATGGTCTCGATCTCCTGACCTCGTGATTCACCCGCCTCAGCCTCCCAAAGTGCTGGGATTACAGACGTGAGCCACCGCGCCCGGCCTGCTTTTTGTCATTATAGTTTTCACCCTAAACACTGCGAAAGGAAGGGCTAAAATATCCTGCATATGGGCATAAAATAAGATCTAAATGTCCCATATTTCTCCCTGTCTCACATTATCAGGATCTCCTTTGGCTTCTGCTTGCACTAGTTTATCAGCTTGTGGCCCCACTAAACTATCTCAGCAGCTCACAGTTTTAAGCAGATGTGAGTCTCTGTCCAAATTTTTACTGAAAAAAAAAAAAAAAAAACAGGTAAAAAGAAATCACTTCCTTTTTTTTTTTTTTTGAGACAGAGTCTCAGTCCATCACCCAGGCTTGGGTGCAGTGTCATGATCTCGGCTCACTGCAACCTCCACCTCTGGGTTCATGCAATTCTCATGCCTCAGCCTCCCAAGTGGCTGGGATTACAGGTGTGTGCCACCACACCCAACTAATTTTTGTATTTTTAGTAGAAATGGGGTTTTGCTATGTTGGCTAGGCTGGTCTTGAACTCCTAAGCTCAAGTGATCTGCCCGCCTCAGCCCCCCAAAGTTCTGGGATTACAGGCCTGAGCCACGGCACCCTGCCAAAAAAAAAAAATAAATAACAACAACAAAAAAACAAAAAAACACCTTCTGATACAACACATTTATGTGTGACAGTCTGAGGGTAAATTCAGGGCTATCGTTTAGGTCATAGGTAGTGGTGTAAGGCCAAACTGGCTTTATGGCTGTTGTCCATTTGATTGCTTAGCGTGTGTATCTTCATTGATGATTGTCCATGCTATATGACTTGTTAAATGTTTTAAATATTAGTGCTGGTTGTGGTAAGATGAGAGTAAAGATGGAGATCCTTAACAGTTCATGAATACAAACACCTTCTAAAAGGAATATACACATTTCTGTCTTAAAAGCTCCTTAGCTACTCCTCCACCATTTAGCTCACATACTGCAGTCTTTTCCCTCTCAAACTATTTTTTATTCTTCTCTCCTTCACCCTTACATTCTGAACATTTATAATGTTGAAAAGTTTTAGCCATCTCTCTTATTTGCTGATTTTTCTCAACTCATGCCTTAAGGGTTCAACTTGTACTCCTAAAAGTTTACACATTTATTTTCTTAAACAGAGACAATTACCTCCTAAGAGAAGTTGTGGTATAAGTTATAAGGATCATATTTTGTTTATTTTTTAATTTAAATAGACTGTTTCTTAAAGCAGTTCTATGTTCACAGCAAAATTAAGTGGAAGGTAGAAGAGTACTCATTTACTTCCTGCCTTCTCTGCCACACAGAGCCTCCCTATCATTGACATCCCTGAACCAGAGTGGTACACTTGTTACAGTCTGTGAGCCACATTTGACACATACTTATTACCCCAGATCAGTAGTTTACATTAGGGTTCACTCTTGGTGATGCACATTCTATGGGTTTTGACAAATGTAAAATAACATCTACCCACCATTATAGTATCATGCAGAGTAGTTTTAATGCCTTAAAAATATTCTATACTGGAACTGTTCATTCCCCTCTGCCCCCAAGCCCTGGCAATCATTGATCATGTTATTATTTCCACAGTTTTGCCTTTTCCAGAATGTATTATAGTTGGAATCATACAGTAGGTAGTATTTTCTGGTTAACTTCTTTGACTTAGTAATACTCATTTAAGGCTTGATAGCTCATTTCTTGTTAGCAATGAAAAATACTCCATTATCTGGATATGCCTCACTTGCGGAATGACATCTTGGTGGTTTCCAAACGGTGTTAATTATGAATGAAACTGTTATAAACAGCTGTGTACAGATTTTCGCATGGATAAGTCTTTAGCTCATTTAGGTAAATACCAAGGAGTGCAATTGTTGAATTGTATGGTAAGAGTATGTTAACTTTGTAACAATTGACAGACTGTCTTCCAAAGTGACTGTACCATTTTGCACTCCTGTCAGCAACGAATGAAATAATTCCTGTTGCTTCACATTCTCAACAGCATTTAGTGTTGTCAGTGTTCTAGATTTTGGGCATTGTAAAAGGTATGTAGTTGCGTCCCATTGTTGTTTTACTTTGTAATTCCCTAATGAAGTATTATTTTGAACATTTTTATATGCTTATTTGCCATCTGTATATCTTTTTTAGTGAATTCTTTTGAGATTTTTTTCTGTTTTTTAATTGGGATTTTTTTTATTAACATTTAAATGTTCTTTGTACATTTTGGATGACAGTTCCTTTGTAAGATATGTTTTTGCAAATATTTTCTTCCAGTCTGTGGTTTATATTCTCACTTTCCTGCAAGTGTCTTTCATAGCTTTTTCATTCTGTTATGGTTGTGTTATAGTATCTGTAATGGGAATTAGAGACCCTGAAAGAAGTTTAATAGATTACTTCTAAGCTGCCTTCCTACTCTTAACTCCTTAAGAAGTATATTTTTATACTGAAGAAGTATATTTTTCAAGTGACATTTTAATATTAAAACCTATCACAAGGTATGATTATGAATAAAAGCTGGCAAACTCATTTAGAAATATTCAATAGCTTTTGCTTTTAAAAAGATTTTGTTTTAACTAATGTTAATAAAATCAAAGGAAATATCCCTCCCCCATATATTAATTATTACTATATCCTTGCATACATTTAACTGGAAGGTAGAAAAGTTGACTAACAAGAGTCTGGGCTAAATAAAGCCTATGATTTGACAGATCATTATTTTTTCAGGTTGTCTATTAAAGTATGAGAAACAAGAATACTATGAATAAAATCAGATTCTCCTGTTTAGTTTCTTAAATGTTTCCTTTATGGTGAGGAAGTATTGCCTATGTCTAAGAACAGCAGAATAGACCTTGTAAAGATAGCCTGGGAAATAAAGATTGGAAGAAAAGTTACGATCAATTATGGGTTTCTTTAGTAAGATCTCTACCTATGTTTTTTTATAGGTCCCTTCTAAGTATATGATTGCAGTCCAGAGGTATAGTCACATCAATTGTGTATTATTTGCATAGATTAGCATTGCCTTTTCACAGACAATTTTCTGTTATTTTCCTGCCAATATAAATACCAAAGACTATTAAAGTAAGAAGAAGTTTCAGGAAAGGTAGATTGCATCTTGTCACAAATCGAAGCACAATGAGTAAGCTGATGTGACTTTTCCCTGCTAAGATCACTAGAAATCAGAGTTGTCTCATTAAATACACACTCAAAGAATGGAATGATTGCCAGACTTGCTGTGGTAAGATCTTTGAACATTTACAAAGATGCTTAGGTAAATTTTAGCCTTGTCACCCATTCTCAAGTTATTTAAACTTTACAATTTTGCAGATCTTATAGATGTACTTTCACTAACTCTTTCTTGCATATTCTTGTTATATAAGAAAGAAATGAGGCTTAAAATACCAATTATAAAAGAATGAGTTATTTTAAATAAGAGATTTGGAATTATTTAAGCCATGTATTATATAAAAAGAAATAACTTTTAAAAAATTCTAAAACTTAATATAGCCAGAAGTAATATAGAAAACAATAGAGGGTTTTTTTTTTTTTTCCTGAGAAACATTTGACTAAAACAACATGTGCTAATGCCAAACTTTCTGGCAATAACGTCTTTTTATACATGTGTCATATATATCACAATATGTGTAGTTTCCAAGGATTGCCATAACAAATTAGCACAAACCAGATGAGTTAAAAAGTCTCAGATCAAGGAGTCAGCAGGGTCGTGTTGTCTCTGAAGGCACTAGGGCAAAATGTGATCCATTCGTTTCTCTTAGCTTCTGGTATTGTCAACAATCCATGGTGTGTTTTCACTTGAAGATGCATCACTCCAATATCTTCCTTCATTTTCACATGGGGCTCTTTCTGTGTGGCTCTGTTTCTATATTTTCTCTCCTTATAAGGACCTATACTATAAGTGCCCCACCCTAATTAATTATAAGTTCATTTTAACTTGATTCTATTTATAAAGACCTCTTCCTTCATCTTCACATGGAGCTCTTTCTGTGTAGCTCTGTTTCTATATTTTCTGTCCTTATAAGGACCCATACTATAAGTGCCCCACTCTAATTATAACTTCATTTTAACTTGATTATATCTACAAATACCTCTTCCTTCATCTTCACATGGAGCTGTGTGGCTCAGTCTGTTTCTGTTTTCTCTCCTTATAAGGACCCATACTATAAGTGCCCCACCCTAAGTAAGTATGATCTCGTTTTAACTTGATTATATCTACAGAGACCCTATTTCCAAATAAGGTCGTACTCTAAGGTTCCAGGAAGAACATGAATTTTGGGGAGGGTATTACTCTCAACCCAATACACAATATCTTATGTAAACTTTGGATACAGAACAATCTGAGCTTGAATTCCGACTCTGCTACTTAGTAGCTATGTAAGCTAAGACAAGTTAGTTAATCTTTCTGGTTATATATTAGTTCCTTTATATATAAAAGTATGATAAATCCCACTTTGTTTTAAAGTTTAGAAATGATATTTGTGAATTAACCAGAAAGTATCTGCCGCACAGAAGGTTCTAAAAATAGTAACTGTTATTATTTTATGATTATTATACAGAATTACAGCAGCTTCTTTCTTTTATAAACATTTTGCTTAATTGTAGAAGCAGTATTTTAGAAACAAAATACTAATCTTTACCAAACGTTTGGACAATTTAGTGAAAGTGTTGTCATACTGTTGCTTTGATGTTAAGGTATAATAACTTTGCTTTAGCTTTGCTAGCAGTATATTTCTCCAAGTCCAGCCATCTTTCTGAGTATTATGCAGAAAAACACTGTCCTCAAGGTTGACCTTAATGACAACATTGTGGTTCATACCACTTCAAACCCTCCCTTTTTTTGCTCCTTGTAAGTTTCTTTTTTTATTTAATTGTTCAACCAATCAACAGCTATTTATAACCTATATGGAAAGTATTATATTAGGAATTATGAAAAACAGAAGTATTATATGATCCTGCTTACAAAGAACTTATACTTTATTTGTCAGACCAGACTAACGTATAACATATAAAGCATTATTAGGAAAATGAATTGAAATTTAATAAGAAATCTGCCTTTTTAGCAAATATTATTCCAGTCTTTAAAATGGGCCAGGCAGTACACAGAATATGCAAAGATGATTGAAATGATTTGTTCTTCAAGATGGTCTCAGATGAATGAGAGATGAATGAAAAGATAATTTTCATAGAATGTGATAAATTTAATTATAATCTTATGAGAGTGTTGTGTAACACAGAAAAGAATACTTAGATTAAAAGAGAAGGGCTTCAGGGCTTCTAGGAGAAGGTGACATGAATTGATTACTAAATGACTAGCAGTAGAAAGTATATTGGGGAAAGAACAGAAGACAGGATAAGGAATTTTGAGGAAGAGGAAATAGTATTTGTGAGAAAATGCACAGGAGCAAAAATTATGCAAGCATTTTGAGGTTATTCATAATTCATAGTATAAGATTAAAAGGCAGTATTGAGAAAAACATGTAATAAATCTGGAGTAAAAAGCAGAAGCAGATCTTAAAATGGTTTCAATATATGGTATTTTGTTCCGTATTACCTGTGTGGACAAAGAGAATTGCAATAGTATTCCAAAAGAATATGATGAAGGCTGGAGAACTGAGGAAATTAACACTTATACTAGCTTTCTATTTTAAGTCGGTACAAGTTGCTTTTATATGCATTGTCCCATGCAATCCACATAGCAACTCTATAAGGTGGGTGTTCTCCCCATTATGCAGAAGAAAGAAGTAGATCAAAGGTGTTAAGAAATTTGCCCTAGGTTACACAACAGATAAATGGCCATGTCTGTATTTGTTCAAAATGATGACATCATGAGGGGAAGGTGTGTGTTATGGCCGAGCATAAGTCCTGTGAGGAAACACTTAGAAATTTTTACAATGAAATTCAGGTGATAGATTTACAGATTAGCCTTTTCTCACAGTACTTATTTTCAGCCATGACACCTACCTTCCCCTCATGAGTTCATCATTTAAAACAAATTCAGACATTGCCATTTATCTGCTGAAACAAATCTATATTATATAGGGGGCAATGAAATTATGAAGGCACGTAAACTGAAGCCTACAGCACAGTTTCAAAGAGGGTGAAAATTGTTAGGAAGCTAGTGAAATTAACATCAATTTTAGGTTTGTTTCAGCTACTTGAGATATGACCCCAAGAATTTACCAAGGAAATGGTTATATTAATTCAGGTGTGAAGTCATAACCCCAGATCTAGGGTCAGATGACGAATGCTAGGGAGGGTGTTTGCCGGTAGTCAGACTAAGAAAGATAGCATAAGAAAAAGGGAGGGAGGGAGGGAAAGAGAGAAGGAGAGGGAAAGAGAGAAGGAGAGGGAGGGAGGCAGAGAGAGAGCAAGAGAAAGCATTTAAAAGAAAGAAAGCATTTAAAAGAAAGAAAACTTAATGTAAAAAAGTATTTAAGTTCAAAATTGGTTGGCTATTGGAACATGAAGAACACGTGAAATATTTAGGGTAAGCAAGGCAATAGTCATGTAACTGACAGAGAAACTGTGCTGGAGGAGTCTAATTTAGTGAGGCCTATGGGGGTGGAGTGAAATGATACTTCAGTTTCAGACACACAGAGTTTGAGATGACAGTGAAATATCCAAACAGCACATCCATTAATCTCTAGATATTGCACACGAACCAGAATATGTAGTAGTGAGATGAAACATGCATGTGAGATTGTGTCTCCTTTTTTCTCCAATCCTTTTTTGATAGTTGGAAATCCTAACAGACAGAATCTGTGCTAAATAAGCAGGTGGTGTGAAGTGTCAGAGGAGTCTGATTTATTTTTCTTAACAGTTAGTTAAAAATAGAAAGTGTATTTGAAAAACATAGATTTTTGTTCAGTGACCTGTGTCACAGAACTGTCACAATTACGCTAATTCTGTAGTCCTTTTTGGAGGAGCGTCTGAGAGGATCTGGGGGCCATGGGCTACAAGCTAGGTTACTTTACCTCTCTATATGGTGACTTCAGAGAATGATTTCAAAATAGGATATATGTTCTAAAACTGGACTGTGCTGATTGCACAACTCTGTACATTTACTAAAAATAATGGAATCATACACTTTGGGTGAATTTTTTGTTACGTTATACATTCATGAAGCTGTTAAAGAATAAAATAAAATAATGCTATGTTTTTATTTCTTGCTAAAAATGGTTATGGATTAGTTCTGAGTGAATACCATTGTAAATGACTTGATTTTTAAAACTGCTGCCTAATAAAATTCCAATTTATATGCAAAATATAGTATTAAATACACATGAATACTGACTCTCTTAAAGTAATATAATTAATAACAGCTTTGTTTACTTTATGTTATACTGTTTTTCTTGTCATATTCCTAACTATGTCTGGTTCATATAAAAATCCAAATTATAAGTTAAGAATAAATAGTGAAATATTACTATTTATTACACACACACACAGAGGTTTGTTTTGTATCATGTTGACTACAACTTGGCAACAGACACCTGAGAACATCACTGTATATAATTTTTTCTGTGTTGCAAATTTTCAAAAGAAAAAAACGTTTTCTAATGATGTGGGTTATTTGTTTTATTGTAAATTGTTTAATCATTGTCTCATAGTTCTTGAATTCATTAATAGGGAACTGTACTGGGGGCTGTGATGAAAGATAAGTTAAAAATGGTTCATATTCTCAGTGAACGTTCCTGTATGACAAGGATGATATATGTGTAGAAGGTAATTATAATTTGGGTAAAACGTGATAAGAACAGTAGTAATTATTATTTTAAGGCTGTTCAGAGTTGAAGGAGGTTGCCTTTAGGTATATGGATCAAAGTAAATCTTCAGGTAAAGTTTCTGTATTAGTTTTTTTTTAAGTGTTTTTTTCTTTTATTATTATACTTTAAGTTTTAGGGTACGTGTGCACATTGTGCAGGTTTGTTACGTATGTATACATGTGCCATGCTGGTGCGCTGCACCCACTAACTTGTCATCTAGCATTAGGTATATCTCCCAATGCTATCCATCCCCCTCCCACCACCCCACAACAGTCCCCAGAGTGTGATGTTCCCCTTCGTGTGTCCATGTGGTCTCATTGTTCAATTCCCACCTATGAGTGAGAATATGCGGTGTTTGGTTTTTTGTTCTTGCGATAGTTTACTGAGAATGATGATTTCCAATTTCATCCATGTCCCTACAAAGGACATGAACTCATCCTTTTTTATGGCTGCATAGTATTCCATGGTGTATATGTGCCACATTTTCTTAATCAGTCTATCATTGTTGGACATTTGGCTTGTTTCCAAGTCTTTGCTATTGTGAATAATGCCGCAATAAACATACGTGTGCATGTGTCTTTATAGCAGCATGATTTATAGTCCTTTGGGTATATACCCAGTAATGGGATGGCTGGGTCAAATGGTATTTCTAGTTCTAGATCCCTGAGGAATCGCCACACTGACTTCCACAATGGTTGAACTAGTTTACAGTCCCACCAACAGTGTAAAAGTGTTCCTATTTCTCCACATCCTCTCCAGCACCTGTTGTTTCCTGACTTCTTAATGATTGCCATTCTAACTGGTGTGAGATGGTATCTCATTGTGGTTTTGATTTGCATTTCTCTGATGGCCAGTGATGATGGGCATTTTTTCATGTGTTTTTTGGCTGCATAAATGTCTTCTTTTGAGAAGTGTCTGTTCATGTCCTTCACCCACTTTTTGATGGGGTTGTTTGTTTTTTTCTTGTAAATTTGTTTGAGTTCATTGTAGATTCTGGATATTAGCCCTTTGTCAGATGAGTAGGTTGCGAAAATTTTCTCCCATTTTGTAGGTTGCCTGTTCACTCTGATGGTAGTTTCTTTTGCTGTGCAGAAGCTCTTTAGTTTAATTAGATCCCATTTGTCAATTTTGTCTTTTGTTGCCATTGCTTTTGGTGTTTTAGACATGAAGTCCTTGCCCATGCCTGTGTCCTGAATGGTAATGCCTAGATTTTCTTTTAGGGTTTTTATGGTTTTAGGTCTAACGTTTAAGTCTTTAATCCATCTTGAATTGATTTTTGTATAAGGTGTAAGGAAGGGATCCAGTTTCAGCTTTCTCCATATGGCTAGCCAATTTTCCCAGCACCATTTATTAAATAGGGAATCCTTTCCCCATTGCTTGTTTTTCTCAGGTTTGTCAAAGATCAGATAGTTGTAGATATGCGGCGTTATTTCTGAGGGCTCTGTTCTGTTCCATTGATCAATATCTCTGTTTTGGTACCAGTACCATGCTGTTTTGGTTACTGTAGCCTTGTAGTACAGTTTGAAGGATTCTGTATAAGTTAAATGGAAATAACAACAAATGTGTTCTCATTTGTTTATTCAATGAGACAGGAAGGAAACCATTCTAGGAATATGTTCTTCAAATTTAATGTCTGTATCCCTATAGTACACAAATACTTTCAAAGTGGTAGGCAGACAGAAAGTTTTAAAGATTAATTTTCCACATCCTTAAGATTCTTATGAATTCTTTTCTTGTGAATTCATGGGAACACTTCTGATGTAAAAGCTTCATGCATTCCCCATTGAGTCTCCCTATCACAGTCTCCCAATAAACACATGTGACTTTGACATCCTTATTTGATAGCCCAAATCTATGCCAGTGTTTCCTAAATTTTATTGATCCATGTATCACTGCTACGATTTTCCATCTCTCTGTATCAAAACATAACACATTTTCTGATTTCTGTCATATTCATATACTTTACTGTATCAACAATGTTTTCTCTGAATTTTTCATATTTACTTAAATGTATTTGTAATTATTTGAAATGTGTATCAGTTTTTCACTTGTCAGATATAGAATATAATGATACACATAAATACATTTCCCTTTATCAAAGAAAACACACTGTAGTCCATCCTTTACCATACAGAGATGCAACACCCAAGAGGGGAAAACAGTCAAAACACCAAACAAAAGGATAATCATAAATATTAATGTGGATGGTGGAAAGTAAAAATTCTAACTCATGTAAGCTGTAACTGACTTGATTTTAGCAATTTATCTTTTTAATATTAAAAGAGAATCTTTTTTGCTGATAAATTAATAATTTTATTGTGGATAATGTAGTTTTGGAATATAACTCAGAAGAAGTTTAAAGTATTAAGTAACATTGTTACAACAAAGCCTTTTCTATTCCCATCTACTCAGTATCTGAACATGTTTTTAAATGCGTGTAGTCAAAAACTAGAAAATAGGTACACCCACCTCATTAAGAGACAGAGTTCTAATACAATTTTACATTCGATTTAAGCATATTGTATATTAATTTAAGCAGCTGCTTACAAAAAAGATTATATTGATAACTTAATCCTAAAGAAAAAGAAGATTTTTAGTCTTGTGATCTGCATTTTAAAAATTGGTTTATATGAATTGTGTGTGTAGAGAAATAGAACAACCGTAAAAAATCTCAAGCATAACCATATATTAAATTGAAAAAAATTCTATGGGCAAAATAGAATGAGAATGTTAGTTCAGTAAGATAAAGGGACAATATGAAATTTCTGACTCCTAAAAAGAGCTTGTTCACATATTTTTAAAATGAATTATTGTGGATTTCAAATAACCATGATATTTATATTATTTTTTTTCCAAAAGAATGATACAGTAGTATACTGGAAATGATATCATTAGCAATTATTTACATTTCTGTTGTAAAAATTTAGATATCAATCTACAAATATGTGATAGTATATATGATTTTAAAAATTATAGACTATATGAGCAGAAAATTTTGAAGACCACTGTTGTAGAATAAAGGCCTAGATGTACAAAACCTTAAAAACTTTGATATATCTAGTAGTTCAATTATTTGATGAGTAGGACAAGGCTTGGAACACAAATTTGAAAAGACTGAGGTGCTCCTGGAAGGCTAATGCTACCAAATAGGAAAACAAGTTGGGTGACTCATGGAATTTCACATTTTCTCCTAGTCAGCCACATTAAAAAAAAATAAAGAAGAAACACTGGAAATCAATTTTTTGTTGGTTTGTTTTTGTTTTTTGTTTTTGAGATGGAGTTTCACTCCTGTTGTCCAGGCTGGAGTACAATGGCGTGATCTTGGCTCACTGCAACCTCCACCTCCCAGATTCAAGGGATTCTCCTGCCTCCGCCTTCCCAAGTAGCTGGGATTATAGGCATGCACCACCATACCTGGCTAATTTTGCATTTTTAGTAGAGTTGGGGTTTCTTCATGTTGGTCAGGCTAGTCTTGAACTCCCGATCTCAGGTGATCCGCCTGCCTCAGCCTCCCAAAGTGATGAAATCAATTTTTAAAAACCATTTATTTAATGCAATACATTCAACATCTCATTTAACGTATAATCAATATAAAAAATAGAATTTGGAATCTGGTGTGTATTTTACACCTATAGATCATCTCAACTTGGACTATCCAGATTTCACGTGCCTAGTAAACGCATATGGCTGTAGCATCCTTATTTGATAGCTCAAGTCTGGGCCAGTGTTTCCTAAATTTTATTCATTAATGTACTGCTCCTATAATTTTCCGTATCTCTGTATCACATCATAAATAAATTTTCTTTCTGTCATAGTCACATATATCTACTGTATCAACAATTTTCTCTGAATTTTTCATCCTTTTTACTTAAGTTTACCTATATTAATTTGGAAAGTGTAGCAGTTTTTTACTTGTTAGATATGGAAGATAATGGTGTGAATAAATAGAATATAAAATATTATTACATGTCAAATACTTTTTGACCCAAGAAACTGAGCCTGAGTCCAGTTTCTCTATTAGAAAGACTAAGAAACAGTTGTTTAAGTGGGATATAAAGTATATTCAATTTTTTCTAAAAATAATTGGGATTAAAGAAAAATAGTAAATATCACTATGTTACTTACTCTAAAGTCCACCTGAAACCATATATATATATACATATATACACCATCAGCATCATGTGTTTCACTCACTGGGGACTAAATCTCAGTATGAAACACATACTGAGTATGAGATTTAGTCACTGGGGAACATTTGCAGGTCTTTAGTAGGGATCATAAGACACAACTATATTTCATAAGTTAATCAGGCTAATCTATAGTACTAGAATTTGATTTGATATAGAAGATTAAAAACTCAGAACATTATTTTAATTTCTGTACCCTTCTTACATTTTATATATTTCTTTGTAGTAAGGAACTTCATCATATTTTATTGGGGTCATTGAGACATATCTAACTTTTTAGCCTTTCAGATGATCTAGAATGCTGTTACAAAAAAAGAAGCTAAGGAATGCTGGAATTTTTAATGTCAAAGACAACTATAGAAGAGTCTACACCTTTTTTGTTGTTTCTGTTGTTAATGGTGAGATATGAGTCCTAGAGAAGCCCTCTAGAAGGGTACACAAAAGGAAGTTATGAAAATGACTGATCTCTACTTGTTTATAGTCAATTAGATATGAAGAACATGGATCTGTATTCTGGTGACATTAAATAAGAGTAGCCTAGAGTCAAATAATACAATCACATAATATAAAGATAAAATTGTTAAAGCACATTTATATCTGTCAAAGAGCAACCTCTAGGCTTCTAAGTTTTTATTACTCTAAATAATTTTACTAGCATCTTGAATATCATCTGTGATTAGAGAACATGAATATTTTCTCTGGTAATCAAATGTTATTGCAAATAATATCGTACTTCCTACTGACACAATATTATTTTATTATGATTTAGCTATTAGATAAACATGTTTTTGGAAATTTTAACTTCATAGCTATACATCGTATGATAAACGTTTATTTAAACTAGAAGCAATTTCAAAAGGTATTTCTGGAAGTTGCCTTGATTGGAATGCAAACATATTTATCTGTAGAATAAAACAGGCCTTCACTGTCCCAAGCACAGAGAAGACATTCAGAAATATATTTTGAATGAATGAACAATTCCATTTCCATTAGTAGCCCTTTCTACTAATGGAGCAAGATAGAAAGTTTTATGTGCTGTGTGATTTCCTAAGTAAAATAAATGGAGGAATGAATTCCACTAGATGGTAACAACAGTGCTATAGGCTTGGGAAGATTATGGATAACTCTATTTTATGTTCCTCTTTCTTAGAATGAAATACTATTATTTTATACTGAAAACTAATATAAAGTTCTAAAAGACTACCCCTTATCAAAAGAGAATATAGGTTGAGTTACTTCAAGAGTTTGAGACCACACTGTTTGCCAAACGTCATTCCATATTTTCTTAACACTTTTATTAATACCCCCATCGCTGCTGTTAACTTATTTTTTCATCATTTCCCTGTCAAATTTATCTGTGGAACTGGATTTAATATGCTTTAAAGCAGATTTTTTATGCTCAAGTTATGCCTATTTTAACAAGCATTTTAAAAACTTGCATTTGTTAATTATTTTCAAATATAAATGACATAGTCAAGAGCATTTCACTTGACTGGGAAAAAAAAGAACTGACTATGAGCTCTTCTAGATTATCTCAGATTACAACGATATCAGCTTTAAAAAAGACAGGTTGTGTTTTGGCATCCTTCTTAATCTTCAGATATTTGCTTATCACTCCATGTCATATGGCCTGACATCCTTTCTGTGGCTTGCTATCCTCTGAATCATTCCTCGCCTTCTCTTGACTATTCTGCCAAATGCAGCTGTTTTCTAAGAGATTTCACAAAGGTTTTATCTGTGCCGTGGGACAAAATATGTCTGCATCTCTCTCTCTCTTTCTCTACTTCTATCTCTATATCTATCATGTATCTGTTTATTTATTTATTCTGCATGTATAACATATATGCACCACTATAACATACATTCACTTTACAAAATTGTGTTAAAAAATATTGATAAAAAAGAAATCACTTGTAAAACTAATGCCAAGTGGTAATTATTAAATCAGAGAGAGAGAGAGAGACAGACTATGTAGAACTGTGATAGAGGAAGCATTTTCTTTATGTTTGAGTCTTATCTGTTAAGGTAACTTAATTTCAAACAACTACTCAAAAAGAAAGCTGGTGTCAACACAGCATATATTTTAATGTGTTAAATATCACAAGATTAGTGAATTCATAAACAGTCTAAGTAATGGTATTCAATTTCCTATAGCATATGTGTTTTGTAAGAGATAGTGGATAAAATAGTACATGCCCACATTTGATATGCAAATAAGATTTTTTTGGAAAAGCTTCTTATTTTCCCATTGATTACTATTAATTTTAAGTTTTTAAACCAAAAAAAAAAAAACCCATCAGATCAAGGAATGTGAAGTTTAATATTCTCTGGCTGATCATGCTTTTTGTTTGCTTCTAAAGACCTGGACCTAAGTACTCTCTAACCTTCTCTTTATCTTGCTGAGAAAGGCAGTGACGTTACAGCAAATAAAGACTACATGAATTCTTATTAAATACTGTTATTTCCACTTCTATAATAAAATGAATAATTTCTGTTTCAGTACAGAATTGTCATTTCTCCTATGTTTTTTATTTTAAATATTTTCAAAACAAAAAAGTAAAATGAACACCCATATAAATACTCACGTAGCTCAGGGATCTTCAAACTAGAGTTTCATGGACAATTTCAGCTTGTCATCTGCTTCTATCAGTAGTTTTATTGGAACAAATCTATGCCCATTTATTTATGTATTGTCTATGGCTGCTTTTGCACTGCAAGACTGAGTTGAGTAGTTGTGACAGAGACCATATGGACCAAAACCTAAAATATCTACCATCTGTCCTTGTAGAAAAAGTTTGTCAAACCTTGATTTAGATTCACCAGTTATTAAAATTTTGCTACATCTGTTTTTTCTATCTTTGTAATTATAGATAGGTAGATTATATTAATAGTTATATACATCCACAGATTTTATGGATGTATATGTACACAAATATGCTTTTTTCTGAACTATTTAAAAATAAGTGTCTGATATTATAATACTTCAGCATGTATCTCCTAAGAAGAACATCGTCCTATATCTCCTACATGATCACAACATTATAATACGCGAAGTATTTAACAATGGTACAGTAATATTGTCTCATAGACAGTCCATATTCAGATGTCTTCAGTTGCCTGACTCAGCATCCAGTCAAGGAGTATGCATTGCCATTGATACTTTATCTCTTGACCCTTCTTTAGTCTATAATTCTCCTTTGATTTAACTTTCATGACATTTCCATTTTCACAAAATCCAAGACAATGGTCTTGAGTCATACAATTTGGATTTACGTGATGATTTCCTCTTGAATTTATTAACTATTTTGATAAAAAATGTTATGCAGACAATGATACACACTTCCCATTTTATCATACAGAAGGACTCACAATGCCAGTTTGTCCTATAATTGGTGACACTAAGTTTGAGTCACTTGGATAAGATAGGATCTGCCAGACTTATTTATTCTAGTGATATATTTAAATTCCATGTTATTGATAAGTAGTAATGTCCAGTGATATCTTGAAACTATGTAAATATTATGCTACTCCACAGTTTTATATAATGGATTTAACATCTATTGATGATCCTTGCCTGAGTCAATTATTATACTATAGAACACAAAATAAAAACTTTCTAATTACATCATTCCTTCTATGTTTATGACCTGGCATTCCTCTGTTTAAAAGTTCTTTTCTCTTTTCTATCTTTTCATTTCTTAAAAAATTATTTTAATATTATGGACTCATGGATTTTTATGTATTCAATGTGAAATTATACATTACTTGCAATATTCTTTTTGATACTTAAATTATATAAACTGGCTGTTGAAAACCACTTCAAACTGGCAACTTTGACCTGTTGTCTTCTTTATTCCTTCATGACTGCCTTAAATTCTGAAGCAACAAAATACTCAGGGCCCACTTTCTGATTCCTCTGCCCTAAACCTTGTATGTACTATTCTTTAAGGATTCCTAGTTTAGTAAGAAAGATACCAAGATCTGAGTATGAGATATGCTCATTGCTAGTGGTGATTTAACACAAAAACTAGGGAATACATAATCTTAGTTACTTTTTTCTTATTCATAAATTCTTACCTCTAATTCAAATTCAGTGATATATGGTTTTTCCTCACCTCTCTCACTCTATAACTTGATCTCCCATTTCCTGTAATGAGAATCATGACTCCCCAAAATTCAGTATATGTACTTATTTGATTTGCCTTACATATAGATGAAGTAAATTAAGAATCATGATACTCACTTTGGGAGGCTGAAGAGGGCGAATAGCTTGAGCTGAAGAGTTGGAGAGCAGCCTGGGAAACATAGCGAAACCCCCAGCCAGGTGTGGTGGTGCTTGCCTGTAATCCCAGCTACTTCGGAGGCTGAGGTGGGAGAATTGCTTTAACCCAGGAGGCAGAAGTTGCGCTGAGCTTCAACATCTCGCCACTGCACTCCAGACTGGGCAATAGAGTGAGACCCCGTCTCAAAAAAAAAAAAAACAATCTGATTTAAGATTGTTGACTGTAATCAGCTCAAGTCTAATATGGTATAGACAAACAGCCTTATCAACTCTTGTCAACTATTGCAATGCAGTGTGATACAGGTTAAGTCTGGAATGTATGTAAGTTGGTGTTATTTGTTTTACATTTTTTTGTTTTATTTTCTAAAGGAAATCACAATATCAGTATCACTACCTAAAATCTATTTAGAAAAGTTCAAGGATTTTTTGTTTTCTCTTTCTGTTCCTGGAACAGGAGTGTTTGCTGTCAGCTAAATCTTTTTAAAATTTACTTGAATTTGTTCTTTATTTTCTGTGTGATAATGCTAAAAAAGTCACATTGAGTTAGTTTAATTTGCTTATATTAGCATATAATATTAAGGTTTGCTTTATCTTTTCTCTTAAATTTAGTTTTTAAAAAATATAAAAACATTTACATGGTTCACAAGTCAAAACTATACAAAGGTACATTCAAAGAAGTCTCATTCTTATATCTGTTCCTTTCAACTTGTTAACACATCCTCATAAGAGATCATTTTCATTAGCATATAATTTATGATTCTGTGATCCTTTAAAAAAAGAAAAGCGTATACATGTGTGCATTTAATAAAGTTAGTATGTTATTAATATACTTCATTTTGCTTTAACATGTTCTGGAATAACTTAGTGTCTGTATATAGTGAACAGGTTTTTCTGTTTTTCTCAATTGCTTAACACTCAATTATGTCAATATCTCATAGTTTTTTCAAGTTTCCTATGTATTATGTCTTTATTTGTGTCTTTTTGAATTTCTTTCATCAATGTCTTAGTTTGTAATGCACAGATCTTTCATAACCTTAGTCAAATTTTTCTCTAAATATTTTATTTTTTGATGCTATTGTAAATGGGATTTGTTTTCTTACTATCCAAAGTGATCTACAAGTTTAATGCAAACCCTATAAAAATTTCAATGGATTTTTTACAGTTATTAGAAAAAATCATAAAATTTGTATGGAAACATAAAATATTCTAAATAGCCAAAGCAATTTTGAGAAAAAAGAGCAAAGCTGGAGGCATCACAGCTTTATGATTTGAAGGTGTATCACAAAGCTATAATAATCAAAAGAGTATGGTACTGGCATAAAAACTGAACACACAACAGAGATCCCAGAGGTAAACTCATACATTTATGGTCAAACTAATCTTTGAGAAGGGCATGAAGAATATAGAATGGAGAAAGGATAAACTCTTTAGTAAATGGTGTAGAGGAACCTGGACTTTCACATACAGAATATCATATCATTTCATACCTGAATTAATATAACCATTTTCTTGTTAAATTCTTGGGGTCACATCTCAAGTAGCTGAAACAAACTGGACTTTCACATACAGAAGAATCCAGCAATCTTCTGTGTATATACCCAAAAGAGAAAAAGTCAGTATGCTGAAGACATAGCTATACTACTGTGTTCATTGCAGCATCATTCACCATAGCAAAGACACCGAAATAACCTAAATGCCCATCAACTGATGAATGAATAAAGTAAACGTGAAATAAATACATATATGTACATACATACATATACACACATATATGTATATACCAGACACATTTACATATATGTATATGTATTTACACACAATGAAATATTATTTGGCCATAACAAGCAAGAAATTCTGGCATTTGTGATGAGATTAATGAAACTGGAGGATATTATGTTAGGCAAAATTAGCAAGACAAGGAAAGACAAATGCTGCATAATCTCACTATATGTAGAATCTAAAAAAGTGAACTTGGAAAAGCAGAGAATAGAATGGTGGTTACCATTAGCTGGCGGTGGGGGAAATGAGGAGACGTTGGTCAGAAGTTACATATAATCAATTAGAAGATGACCACATTCTGGGGATTTAATATACAGCATGTCAAGTAAGGTTAATAATGCCGTATTGTAAACTTGAAATTTGCTAAGATGGTAGATCTTAAGTGTTGTCACCATAAAATGATGGCAACTGCGTGAGGTGATAGATATACATTGAGTAGCTTCCTTTATGTGTTGGGAAAATTCCTAAAGAAAGGGAAATGGTGTGAACTTTACTGTATATTATATACACAAATTTTATACAAGTATGCTTTACCCATGAGTGTCTGGGAGAAAAAAAAACCTGAAAAAAATGTCTCTAATAAAAAATATGGGCACTGAGGGAGTCTATAAAAGAAAGTACAAATGCTTTGTGACAACTGAACCTTAGAAACTTCTGAGGTATTTTTTTTTTTTTATCAACAATGGAGTGCTCTTTCTGAAGAATCACATTGGACATTGTGAGAAAAATTTTTCTACTACATCAATTACTTCATTTTTTTTTTTGCCATGTGCTAAGACACTGTTTTAGTCATTGAGGGTACAAAGATAGGTGATTTAAGATTGTTGACTGTAATCAGCTCAAGATTAATATAGTGTAGTCAAACATCCACACCAGCTATTGCAATGTAGTGTGATACAGGTTAAGTCCGGAATGTATGTAAGGTGGCGTTATTTGTTTTACATTTTTCTTGTTTTATTTTCTAGAGGAAATGACACTTAACTGCCATGAATTACTTCTGTGAACATTTGTTACTCATGTTACAACAAGGTGTCTTGGATTTGCTCCTGACATATTCCTGTAAAAATCCCCATTGATTTTTAGGGTTGATTCACTTGATGTGGCTGTTATGTAATGTGTACCCTTCCTGTTTCACTGATACTGCAGCTCACTTGGTCAAAGAAAACAGCCTTGTCTAATAAAGGACAACTTTGATTCTAACCAAATCTCAAGATACTTTTGAAGGTGAACTTGTTTTGCTAAATAAATATTTTTCTTTTTCATTTCAACATGTCATAATACATTTTAAATAATAGATTACCTCTGAAGTTGAACAGGGAGTTGTATTCCCTGATATGCAACCTATAAAAGTTTAATAATGGTTTTATAAGAGAGAATGGGGAAGAAAAGGGCAGTACTTCCAGTCTTTATCTGTGGCACACATACACACACCCACAGAGGCAGAAAGCTGGATGGGATTGTAGATCATGTAGTTTGAAAATAATTCAGTCTTTGTCCTATTGGTTTTGTATTGTCTAAGTCAGAATTTTAGATTTTTTTTCAGTATTTGTAAATAAGCAGCCACATAGAGGTATAATATACACATAATGTATAACTTACTTATTATGCACAGGTGGTAAATTGCCATAAGTGAACATAACTGTGGAACCAACAACCAGATTAGGAAATGGAACATTATCAGTATTCAAAAAGACCCTCTTGTGCTTCTGCAAGCCACTGCCCCCAACTCCCTCAGGGAAACCACTACATAAGTCAACCTGAATTTTAATTTGCGTTCAAGTAGAGCATAGATTGCAATATTTATCAAAGATAACAAGGTTAAAAGATGTTGGCCTGAGGAAAATTCTAGGTATCCATGTCTAAACACCAGTGCAAATCCCCAAAGAAATTATCTGTTTTTATATAGTTCTAAAAATTATTGGTGATAACATTTTCAATTAGAGTTTAGTTGCATTACTTAAATGTATAAGCTTAAAGATCTTGTTCATATTTTTGTGGTTTTTTCTGCTTTATAAAAACTATTAGAAATCCCTTCTTGGACATTATCACAGTCTTTGGTTTTTAAGGTCATTTGTACTGTGTATGTATTTAAATACTAACCTAGGGTATGTTAGACTGCAAATTAATTTTTGAAGAATTTTTATTGAAATAATACCCATGACCACTTAGCCTTACACATAGGAAAAAAAATGGTCATTTTAATGTATAATTTTATTGTCTTCATACAATGTAAAAATTAGCAATAATTTTTTAAAGTGATAATAGTAATATTATATTTCTCATCAATATTAATGCCAATTAAATGCGAACGTTTAAAGTTGCTATCTGAGTATGATTTTCCTTGTAAAACTCCTTAACTGATGACCCTGAGTCGACCATTGGCTGGAATTCAAGTTCATGAGCGTGACACACAAGGCCCTTCGTGAGATGATCCCTGTCTTCCTTTGGACCTTACACCACTGCTCTTGTTTATATTACAAAAAATAACAAACTACTAGTGGTTTCCTAGCAACTATTGCAGCTTTTCATGCCTATGTAAGTGCTTATCCTGCTGAATACAATTTTCACCTTTTGTATGATATAAAGTTCCATTCATCTCTCAAAACCCCACTCTGATTCTTCCTTCTCTTAGTCTTTATGGACTGTGATCACCAATTTTAATCTCCTTTTTAAGTTTGTTGCTTCTTCCTTGACATTTTTTCCAAGTTCTAGAATGGTTTAAGTTTTCGAACCACCCCTATAACATTATGAGTTTCTAAGGAAGGAGCAGGAACTATTTCTTAATTAACTCTGTCTAGTACATTGCAGATGCTCATCAAATACTTGTTTGTGGGTAAATCTTCCCAACACTTATCAGAGTGATAAAAAAAAAAAACCAAGTAATTTAGTGATTGTTAAATGATTAGCTTTAGAAAACTTCAGGTTTTTTTTTTGGGGGGGTGGGTGTTAAATTTATTTTGCCCTGTAAAAGGAGTTAATCTGATTCCTCCCCTTTTGTTTATAAAGTTTGTGTGTCTCATGAGATCTTAAAGATAGAAACAACTTTAATCGAGCCCAATTTTTTTAAGAAATTCATAGGAGAAGTAAAAAAAAAAAAATGCTCTGTTACAGAAACAAGTTAAAAACAGACTACCTTGTATCCCTTAATGAGAGCTAGGAGGCCTACATTGTCTCTCCAACTGTCTTCCAAGGGCCTGAGGTCCTTCATGGGGTCTACAGACTTGAAGGCAGTTCTCGGGCTCATCGTTTTTATCCCGTTGTTGCCTCCAGTTACTTATTTGCTTTATTCTGTCCTGTTACTTCAAATGTTTTGAAACAGCTTCTTCTCTTAGAATGTATGAATGAGCAATGTTTCAGTTCCGTTAGAAACATGACTCTTTTCTGGCTACCCATAATAAATCCGCTCTCCAGTTTTGTTCTTTTCTACTACATTAAAGCCATTATAACAAAATATTAAAAAAAAATTTTCTTTCAAAAAACCAGTAACCCAAGTATCTATTTCTTAGTGATTTGGCTGCATTTATAGGATATTTTATTTGGATCTATTTTATAATCACTTGAAAGCGTCACTTTGGTTTGGTTCAGGTCTGTGGACCTGAATAAATTGACCATGCTTTGGCAGAGCCATCAGAAGAGTATTGTGGCCAATCCTTTAAATCTCTGCAGATGCTCTATAGCTAAGTCAATCCAAACTGATCATCATTGTGGCCATACTGAGTGGTTTTTACTCTGCCATGGGCGTGATGCTTAGCCATAAAAAGATTTACCTTTGAGTGATAATATTTTTGTATTTTCTGCTAGCGTAGTTTCCCATTTCCAATGACATTGGGAAGTAAAATATCTTGCTTTTTTAATACGGTCATTTTCATTTATGCTTTTTTATTGTTCCTTAACAATGAAAAATAATGTAAAATGATATAAAACCTCTGAGATGCAGATTTCCTGGGGATAAATGGTTGGACTGATTAAATATCTGTTCATGACACTGTTCAGAATGAGTCTTCATGTCATTTTGGAAATGAAGGTTAATATCTAATCCAGTTAAATATAAAAATATATTGTGATTAATGTCTCATCTACTGAAGAGCTTTGGTCAAACAAAAACCTCATAACTTTAAAAAACAAATGAGAGAAAGAAAGAAACAGGTAGATAATTACTGGAAAAATAATCTAAAACTATTCTTAAAATTATTTAAGGCACTCATATTTTAAGTTTTCTTCGGGCATATGCAAAACTATTGGATGTATTAGATAATCTCTGTATCACATGCTCTCTCTCTATGTATATTTACCTCTGTGTGCTATAAGTAGAATTTTGTACTCACGTTATGATAATAATGCTAAGCATTAATATATTTTAAGTGAAGTTTCCACTTTATATACGATCTTGATTGATTATCAAGTATTTTTACGTTAGCGTTCCCATTTAAAAAAATTATCAAGAAAGAAGGAAAAGAAAAACTCCTTAATAACGTTAAATATAGGTTAATAAATAAAGACATTAGAATATGTGTTGGTTGTAAATAATTTACATCCTCTATGCTTAGAGTAATTTGGAGAAAATTCAATAGTTCTTTATAGTCATATCTTTTCATAGAATTTATATTTGTATTGCTAATTTGGTATTCTAGGTAAAATTTATTTCTGCCCTTGAAATGATTTTCATTTTCATTAGTCACTTGGTCATTTATTGAATACATGTTTATTGAGTAAACACTCTGTGCTAGGCATTGCTAGCATAATGAATGAGAAGAGGACCGTGACTTTATGGGGTTAAATTCAGTAGAGCCCTAGAGCATGTGACTAACTATATTATGCTGCAGAAGCCACACACACAGCATCCTGTAGGAGTACAGAGAAGGCAGAAACTAACTCTTAAGGAGAGGTAGAAATGTCAGGAGAGCTTTTCAGTAGGTGGGGATGTTTAATTTACATTTTAAAGAAATCGATTTCAAAATTAATACCCAATTTCAACACACCATTTATAGAAAAAATTTCTCTAAAAGCATTGCTTTCCTATCATTATCAATTTTTTTTTAATTTTCCTAGGCCATTTTTGGGAAAAGAAAGTGGCTATTAATGACTTACATAACTCATACTGAGCTTAAAATATATATATTGAAATCTTCATTTAAAAGTAGAATGTTATTCTCAGTGTTCTTTCCATAACTTTCTCCGTCTCTGTGGCCCCATCTTTGTTTTGATGAGACTCAAAAACATTGATCCTGTTAACTTTTATTTTCAACTTTCAATGGCCTAGTGGTGCTTGCATAAATATACAGCAGTGCTCTCTACGGGACAGAAGCTAATCAACTCATGTGGAACACGCTTTATTACTGGGTATGAAGGATGGATATCTTATAGGAAACTCAATGACAATTAAAAAAAAAACTATTCAAAAGCGACTGCAAAGAATAATACCACATTTTAACTTGAAATATTTACAAGACTACTTAAACCTCTTTCTAGCAACTGGTAAAGTTCAGGACCAGCCCCAGCTCCAATGTGAACATGAGATGCAAGCAAACTTTCTGCTTTCTCTAAGAAATTATGTTATTTTAAAAATGTCATTTTTTCATTTCTAACCAAAATGTTATATTGAGTTTTTTCATTTGATTTACTTTTACAATGTTCTTCTTCAGTGGAACAGCAAATATTCTACTTCCCAAGTAGCCATATTTGATTATTATTATAACTTTAAAGAAATTAAGTTGAACAGATGTTTATTATGGTGAATATTACATTCACTGAAATATATTCATGATTTTGACAATTTACTATTCAAAAAAAGTAGTGTTTACAGTAAGACAAAAATACCTTTTGAAGTTCACATGTATCTTTTAAAATAGCGCAATGACATGCTGCCCATGGATATTGAAATTTTTGACCATGATTACAAATGTTGTGCATCTCATCAAAGAAATAAAAGCACTGTTCTTCTGTTCAGGTTGTTTTTTGCATTTAGTTATAAAAGTTAATTCTAGGCAAATTGGTCTGGCAAAATAAATCACGAATGTATAAATGCAAAATTAAGAGAGTAAACGATGCTAACACAATGTCTCAATTTCAAAAATAACATGTTTGGAATTTAGTCTTCCACTGAACTTTTCCACTATAAAAACTAATTTTTAATTACTTGAAAGCAATTTTATATAAGGTCAATCAAAAAGTGTTAATTCTCAAGATAAAAAAAATTGTTCTTGACAGTTTTTTTCTGTTAGACTAGTAAATGTGTGGTTGCCAAGGGTATATTTCTAAATTGAAAGCTTCAAATTCCTATTTTTTGAGTGCTCCGCAAACCTCAGGTGTAACAGAGTTGATTTTTAATGCCAAAACATTTCAAATTGAGTAACAATAATAGTGCTAATTATACAATTCCACTTTTACATGATATTTTATAGTTTATGGATTACTTTCACATACATATGTACGATTTTACCTAATCACTCCATCCACAGTTGTTATACAGATTATATATAATACTACATGTGAAAGCAGTTTAACTGACAACCCCATTAAACACAGGAAGAAGAAATGGTAATTGGGTATTCTGTGATATTGTTTAACAGCCATAATAGGCGTACCCTTACACTAGCTTTATCTCTGAATATTTTAGGTTATATAACCATATATGACTCCATTTTTTAATTCAGATTGAGTTGAATTTTTTTTCAACTTATCTTACCAGATGCACTGTTCACATCCTCTGTAGTGTTTAAGCCTTGTTCTCTATTAAAACAATCTCTTTCATAAAACTACTGAAGTCAAAGGCAAAAACTTTGTGATGGATTCCCAAAAACATTCTTTAGGTATGTCCTGCTTGGATACACAACTCAGGTTTTCAGACTTGTTCAGCTGACTCTATTAAAGACTGAGAAGTGTTGTCATCTTGATCAATATTGAGCAATGATTAGGTGTAGGTCTATGACATCACCTTACTCTAAAACCACAGTTAAACTGTTTTGTGTTTAGACTGTATGCTTTAAAAATCCTTATTTCTGAGTATCTAACAGGATTTTCTTAACTATTATATGCTTTTTAAAAATTAATGTATATTAGAATAGATGGATAAAAGCTCTTATTCCTCTATTCTGTGGGGAATTGGTTCTTATTCCCCATCAAATTGTGGAAACAAGTACGTGCCCTGTTGAATCCTGTCTAAATAAATTAATCTCATAGTCATTGTGATTATGTGTCAGGAAGAGATGGCCAAATGAAAGTTCATCATAGGTTAAAGCCCTAATTGAGAAAGCAACCAGATACTTTATTATGCATCCTAAGATCTTCTCCAAGGACAAGTAATAAACTAAAAAAAAATCAATGTATTAATATTATCATCACTATGATTATTTTGGTAAGAAATAAAAAGTGAGTTCAAAAACTATATCAATAAAATATTCACCATTTCTGAATTTAATTGAAATTAATATCAACAATTTTTCTCTATTTGTGTTAAATTTATAAAAGAATATGGTAAATTAATTTCATAGCATTTTATTACATCATTCTCAAATAATTCTATATAAGTAGGTGTGTTGTTTTTCTCAATGTCCAGGTGAACTGGAGAGATTATATAGTGTTTTATTTTAAACACAACAATACTACCATTTTATACCTCATCAGAAAATTTTTAAAAAGACACCCATTATTTTCTAATTAATACAATTTCTTGAAACATTTCCTTAATCTATAGACATTTTAATATCATATTATGAATACTTTATAAACATTTGCATATTTAGGAGGAAAAACAGTTTTCATAAATGATTTCTGTATTTCTAAATTTGTAGAAATTTTTCTCTACAAGTTTGTAGAATTTTAGGCAAGAAAAAATTCAGAAGAAATAAAATAATTAAATGTATAACTCTCATCAAGGCATTTATTCATTTTCTGTAATCAGGCTGAATTCAGATATGGAAATAGAATTTTTAATGTATTTCAAGCAAAGTAGTTATAAAATTTGACTCTCTTGTGAATACAACACTAAGACTTTCAAAGTCTTCTACTTGTAGAGCCAAATAGACTGACAATCATTCTTTGATTACATTTACTTAGAATATGTGATACAAAATCTTGTTAACTTTCCAGAAGACTGGTAAATTTCCAGCTTCCCTTAGAATAATTGTAATGATAGCTGAGGTTTCTTACTTGTTTTCTGTGTGCCAAGTATTAGTCCTTGTACAAGGGCTTTACATGAAGAATTTCTTCAAATTCTAACAGTAACACTATGAGGAATAGGGTTATGATTCTTACTATATTGACAAGGAAATTGAGGCATTGAAAGAATAAGTAACTTAAAAAAGTATCTTGTAGCAATGTTTAAACTCTGTTTACTGCTCAAAGGAAGTTCTTATTACATCAGTTTGTGGCCAACAACAAATCCCTTGCATATAACTAAGAAATCATAATATGCAGAACTATAAGTTCTCAGTGGCTGTGCAATCCACCTAGACCCCATGATCTGCTCCCTTCAATTGCACCAGGCAATTCAGATGCCACCCTTGTAGTCAGGACTCCTACTACATCTTAGAGTGGAATGTTCCATGGCGCAATGATCCTTTCCACACTCAAATTGTCCATAGTTTCTTGATACGTATACGTGAAGAGGGAGCATGTTGTTGTTCAGCATAGAAGGAGTCTGGACATGGATATTATATAGAGACTGTCATGATCCTTAAAAATGTTTTGGCAACGTTGCCTCTTCTCTTGCCTAGCAGATAAACTACTGGTAGTTTCTGTTACTGTTATCAAGTCCTCCTTCTTAGTTTTTTTCCCCCCCTTCAGATTAATTAAGCCTTTTGCATGCAGTCCTCTGCAGAAATAAGTATTACTATTTCATACGTTAGTATATTTACAAGCAAGTGTGTGAATAATATAGATTATCAATGCTGAAGAAGATCAGGGTAAGAGGAGAATATGGCTAATACAAGATTATTACTACTTAATTATCAGTATAGAAGATTAGAAATTTGCTTAGAAAATAATTTTGAATTTAGCTGGGAGGAAAGAAAAGACATTATAACGACACTTTAAATGAGAAATGAATGAATAAAGGTCGGGTTGAGAATAAATAAGTGAATTGGATTTTAAGAGTGAGATTCTCAACTTAGCAAAGCACTCAAAAGGGCAAGTAAGCTTGAACCAACACAACAGATGGGAGATCAGAGTGTAGTCCAAGAGAGTTTATTACAAGGATTAGCTCTAAAATCTAATGGACAATATTAAAATTTTAAGAACAGTTTGCATTTCCATTTCACAGTATGTTTACTTTTGTTATAAAAATACTTCAAAGTGTTTAATCCTTACCTTCAAATCTAGAGTAAAATTACGCTTTATAAAATTGTGTGGTTTTTTGTTTGTTTGATGTTATGACATAGAGGAACACACTGTGCCACACTGTCAATAAATGAGTTTTAAAAGTGCAACTTCAAGGAAAATGTGTTAAGATCACAGTGGGAGAAAATGAGAGAGAATCCTTGGTAAATCAGGTGGGCTTAATTTATAGATAACTTTGTAGATCAGGAAGGGAAAGGGAAGCTGCTGGAAACACACGTGGCATCTTAGGAAATTTGAACACACAATGTTTCATGTTCCCATAAAAATATTGGTAGATGCTAATTGATCATGTTGTCTTTGTATTTACTCCTGCAAATTCCAAATTTAGTCTTAGTTCTGGCAGAATTGTGTCTGCTTGATAGGATATTTTAGTTTATACCACATTTAAGAATCAAATAGCACACACACATTCAGAAAATGTGAAATATTCAAGAGTAAAATAAATTGTTAACTGCCTGAAACATGAGCTGTGTCCTTTCATTGTTGCAGTCCCCACACAAGGTTTTAGATATATGTATTGCTCAACTCAACAGGTATTGCTCAACTCAACAGTGGAGTAACAGATGGCACTTATATTTTGTGAAATGACTTATTTTCATGTTTCTTGGCATATGTGACTCAATGCATTATTTAAGGTGGAATTGTAATATTTGTACCTTAATAATAACTTCTTAAGAATGAGAAGTGGCCAAGCTCCTCTCATACTAAGTGATATATTGAAGTTAGCATCTTCATGAATGTCTTCTTAACCCCTTATCTTGTAGCTACTATACCATTTATTTTTGCATTGCCTTGTATTTTAGTGAATATATGCACATGCTTACCCTCTCCTGACCCTATTTGCAAGTTCTTGTAATCTTACTGAGTTGGAACGCTGACCATAGCTCCTACACCCAGCAGGTACTCAATGAACAATTATGGGTTTCAATTCGATCAACATACTTTAAGCATTCAAGAACGTTCCATGTCTGTAAGCAAGTGTTTGAAAAATCTCAATAGATGCAGAAAAGGCCTTTGACAAAATTCAACAACCCTTCATGCTAAAAACTCTCAATAAATTAGGGATTGATGGGACGTATCTCAAAATAATAAGAGCTATCTATGACAAACGCACAGCCAATATCATACTGAATGGGCAAAAACTGGAAGCATTCTCTTTGAAAACTGGCAGAAGACAGGGATGCCCTCTCTCACCACTCCTATTCAACATAGTGTTGGAAGTTCTGGCCAGGGCAATTAGGCAGGAGAAGGAAATAAAAGGTATTCAATTAGGAAAAGAGGAAGTCAAATTGTCCCTGTTTGCAGACGACATGATTGTATATCTAGAAAACCCCATCGTCTCAGCCCAAAATCTCCTTAAGCTGATAAGCAACTTCAGCAAAGTCTCAGGATAGAAAATCAATGTACAAAAATCACAAGCATTCTTATACACCAACAACAGACAAACAGAGAGCCAAATCATGAGTGAACTCCCATTCACAATTGCTTCAAAGAGAATAAAATACCTAGGAATCCAACTTACAAGGGATGTGAAGGACCTCTTCAAGGAGAACTACAAACCACTGCTCAAGGAAGTAAAAGAGGATACAAACAAATGGAAGAACATTCCATGCTCATGGGTAGGAAGAATCAATATCGTGAAAATGGCCATACTGCCCAAGGTAATTTACAGATTCAATGCCATCCCCATCAAGCTACCAATGCCTTTCTTCACAGAATTGGAAAAAACTACTTTCAAGTTCATATGGAACCAAAAAAGAGCCCGCATTGCCAAGTCAATCCTAAGCCAAAAGAACAAAGCTGGAGGCATCACACTACCTGACTTCAAACTATACTGCAAGGCTACAGTAACCAAAACAGCATGGTACTGGTACCAAAACAGAGATATAGATCAATGGAACAGAACAGAGCCCTCAGAAATAACGCCGCATATCCACAACTATCTGATCTTTGACAAACCTGAGAAAAACAAGCAATGGGGAAAGGATTCCCTATTTAATAAATGGACATGGGAAAACTGGCTAGCCATATGTAGAAAGCTGAAACTGGATCCCTTCCTTACACCTTATACAAAAATCAATTCAAGATGGATTAAAGACTTAAACGTTAGACCTAAAACCACAAAAACCCTAGAAGAAAACCTAGGCATTACCATTCAGGACATAGGCATGGGCAAGGACTCCATGTCTAAAACACCAAAAGCAATGGCAACAAAAGACAAAATTGACAAATGGGATCTAATTAAAGAGCTTCTGCACAGCAAAAGAAACTACCATCAGAGTGAACAGGCAACCTACAAAATGGGAGAAAATTTTCGCAACCTACTCATCTGACAAAGGGCTAATATCTAGAATCTACAATGAACTCAAACAAATTTACAAGAAAAAAACAACCCCATCAAAAAGTGGGCGAAGGACATGAACAGACACTTCTCAAAAGAAGACATTTATGCAGCCAAAAAACACATGAAAAAATGCCCATCATCACTGGCCATCAGAGAAATGCAAATCAAAACCACAATGAGATACCATCTCACACCAGTTAGAATGGCAATCATTAAAAAGTCAGGAAACAACAGGTGCTGGAGAGGATGTGGAGAAATAGGAACACTTTTACACTGTTGGTGGGACTGTAAACTAGTTCAACCATTGTGGAAGTCAGTGTGGCGATTCCTCAGGGATCTAGAACTAGAAATACCATTTGACCCAGCCATCCCATTACTGGGTATATACCCAAAGGACTATAAATCATGCTGCTATAAAGACACATGCACACGTATGTTTATTGTGGCATTATTCACAATAGCAAAGACTTGGAACCAACCCAAATGTCCAACAATGATAGACTGGATTAAGAAAATGTGGCACATATACACCATGGAATACTATGCAGCCATAAAAAAGGATGAGTTCATGTCCTTTGTAGGGACATGGATGAAATTGGAAATCATCATTCTCAGTAAACTACCGCAAGAACAAAAACCCAAACACCGCATATTCTCACTCATAGGTGGGAATTGAACAGTGAGATCACATGGACACAGGAAGGGGAATATCACACTCTGGGGACTGTTGTGGGGTGGGTGGAGTGGGGAGGGATTGCATTGGGAGATATACCTAATGCTAGATGACGAGTTAGTGGGTGCAGTGCACCAGCATGGCACATGTATACATATGTAACTAACCTGCACAATGTGCACATGTACCCTAAAATGTAAAGTATAATAAAAAAAAAAGTATGAAATACCTAGCTGTTTTTGTGTGGTCCTGACTACTTTAAAAGCTGTGTGCCTTGATACTCTAGTCACTACTCAAATGTATGTACACATAGTATTTTGCAGATGATTTCAGAAGATGAACAAAATCCCTGAAAGTCATCAGTCAACCCAGGTTCAGAACTTTTTACTATTATTATTATACTTTAAGTTCTGGGATACATGTGCAGAATGCGCAGGTTTGTTACTTAGGTATACATGTGCCATGGTGGTTTGCTCCACCCATCAACCCGTCATCTACATTACATTAGGTATTTCTCCTAATGCTATCCCTCCCTTAGCCCCCCACCCCCACATAGGCCCAGGTGTGTGATGTTCCCCTCCCTGTGTCCATGTGTTCTCATTTTTCACCTCCCATTTATGAGTGAGAACATGCGGTGTTTGGTGTATGTTCCTGTGTTAATTTGCTGAGAATGATGGTTTCCATCTTCATCCATGTCCCTGCAAAGGACATGAACCCATCCTTGGGTTGGTTCCAAGTCTTTCCTATTGTGAATAGTGCTGCAATAAACATATGTGTGCATGTGTCTTTATAGTAAAATAATTTTTAATCCTTTGGGTATATACCCAGTCATAGGATTGCTGGGTCAAATGGTATTTCTGGTTCTAGATCCCTGAAGAATTGCCACACTGTCTTCCGCAACGGTTGAACTGATTTACACTCCCACCAACAGTGTAAAAGCATTCCAATTTCTCCACATCCTCTCCAGCATCTGTTGTTTCCTGACTTTTTAATGATTGCCATTCTAACTGGTGTGAGATGGTATCTCATTGTGTTTTTTTTTTTTTTTTTTTTTTGAGATGGGGTCTTGCTTTGTTGCCCAGGTTGGAGTACAGTGACGCGATCTCGACTCACTGCAACCTCCGCCTCCCAGGTTCACGCCATTCTTCTGCCTCAGCCTCCCAAATAGGTGAGACTACAGGTGCCTACCATCACACCTGGCTAATTTTTTGTATTTTTAGTAGAGACAGGGTTTCACCATGTTAGCCAGGATGATCTCTATCTCCTGACCTCGTGATCCGCCTGCCTCCGCCTGCCTCCACCTGCCTATGCCTCCCAAAGTGCTGGGATTACAGGCGTGAGCCACCGCACCCTGCCCTTATTGTGGTTTTGATTTGCATTTCTCTAATGACTGGTGATGATTAGCTTTGTTTCATATGTTTATTGGCCACATAAATGTCTTCTTTTGAGAAATGTCTGTTTGTATCCTTCGCCCACATTTTGATGGGATTTTTTTTCTTGTAAATTTGTTTATGTTCTTTGTAGATTATGGATATTAGCCCTTTGTCAGATGGATAGATAGCAAAAATTTTCTCCCATTCTGTAGGTTGTCTGTTCACTCTGATGATAGTTTCTTTTGCTGTGCAGAAGCTCTTTAGTTTAATTAGATCCCATTTGACAATTTTTCCTTTTGTTACCATTGCTTTTGGTGTTTTAGGTATGAAGTCTTTGCCCATGCGTATGTCCTGAATGATATTGCCTAGGTTTTCATCCTTATACCAAAACCTAGCAGAGACCCAACAAAGAAAATTTCAGGCCGATATTCCTGATGAACATCGACGCAAATATCCTCAATAAAATCACTAGCAAACTGAATCTAGCAGCACATTGAAAAGCTTATCCACCACCACCTTATCAAGTCGACTTCACCCCTGGGTTACAAGACTGGTTCAACATATACAAATCAATAAACATAATCTATCATAAACATAAACAGAACCAATGACAGAAACCGCCTGATTTTCTCAATAGATGTAGAAAAAGCCTTTGATAAAATTCAGCACCCCTTCATGCTAAAAACTCTAAATAAAGTAGGTATTGATGGGACATATCTCAAAATAATAAGAGCTATTTATGACAAACTCACAGCCAATATTATACTGAATGGGCAAAAGCTGGAGGCATTCCCTTTGAAAGCCGGCACAAGACAAGGATGCTGTCTCTCACCACTCCTATTCAGCACTGTATTGGAAGTTTTGGCAAGGGCAATCAGGCAAGAGAAAGAAATAAAGGGCATTGAAATAGGAAGAGAGGAAGTCAAATTGTGTCTGTTTGCAGATCACATGATTGTATCTTTAGAAAACCCCGTCGTCTCAGCCCCAAATCTCCTTAAGCTGATAAGCAACTTCAGCAAAGTCTCACGATACAAAATCAATGTGCAAAAATCAAAAGAATTCCTATACACCAATAATAGACAAACAGGGAGCCTAATCATTAGTGAACTCCCATTCACAACTGCTACAAAGAGAATAAAATACCTAGGAATCCAACTTACAAGGGATGTGAAGGACCTCTTCAAGGAGAACTACAAACCGCTGCTCAAGGAAATTGGAGGACACAAACAAATGGAAAAACATTCCATGCCCATGGATAGGAAGAATCAATATCGCAAAAATGGCCACACCCCCCAAAGTAATTTATAGATTCAATGCTATTCCCATCAAGCTACCATGTACTTTCTTCACAGAATTAGAAAAAAACTACTTTAAATTTCATATGGAACCAAGAAAGAGCCCATATAGCCAAGACAATCCTAAGCAAAAAGAACAAAGCTGGAGGCATTAAGCTACCTGACTTCAAACTATACTACAAAGCTGCATTAATGGAAACAGCATGGTACTGGTACCAAAACAGACATATAGACCAATGGAACAGAACAGAGACCTCAGAAATAACACTACACATCTACAACCATCTGATCTTTGACAAACCTGACCAAAACCAGAAATGGAGAAAGGATTCCCTATTTAGTAAATGATGTTGGGAAAGTGGCTAGCCATATGCAGAAAACTGAAACTGGACCCCTTCCTTACACGTTATACAAAAATTAACTGAAGATGGATTAGAGATTTAAACGTAAGAACTTTCATTCAGTTTACCTCAGAATGCCAAAAAAGTTAAGAGAATCGATACGCTATTTGCTAGACAAATTCTTATTTAGATAACTTCTTAGAAACATTTAGATGTAACAAAATGAGTTTTCTGATTCGGTGATTATTGGCAAGTATGTTCGGATATGAATTTTAAATGTATGGAATGATAGTTTTTCATTTGCTTCTGAAACTACATGTTTTTTTTTTGTTTTTTATTTATTTATTTATTATTATTATTATACTTTAAGTTTTAGGGTACATGTGCACCTGCACGTTTTGGCTTTAAGAGGATGATCTTCTTAACCAGGGAAGAAATACAGAAGAAAAATGAGTAGAGTGAAGAATGTATGTAAATGCACTTTAGAAAGAGGAGAGAATGTGTTATATTTAACCAAAAACAGTATTTTTAAATTATCATTTAAGAGACAGTGATCATGAAATTAGGACCTGTTCAACTCTTAACATAAATGTTATATATTTTCCATATTAAAAATCTTTATTTAAAATATTTTTTAAAACATTACTTATAAGGTATAATATTAAACTTATATTTTTAGCAGTGAGAATGTATTTGAGGTTTTGTCTTCAAGCTTTAGTTGCAAAGAGAAAAGTAGTTTTTACCCAGAAAAAAAAAAATGGCCAAGGAATGATTCAACATCCTATAGTGGCACGAAGCCAACTCTTCTAATCAATAAGTTGTCATTGCCAGTAAGCTGAAGAAGAAAAGAACAGAAATGGTTTACAATTGGATATTTCCAATTATTTCAAAGAAGAAAAATATGTTACCAGATATGAGTCAAGATGACATAAAGTACATGATTTGTCTCTATTAACTTTGACCAGAACCAGAAAAAAATATATCAGACATGTGCTATACATATAATTAAGCCATTAATACACAACTTAAAATCTCTCGTGACCTCATTCTATAAGGCTTAAATTCCTGAAAAATTTCTCCTTATACCATTGCCAAAACATGTAGCTAACCAGACCATATACGGATCTGATTCCAATCACTGTTTATCTCATTTTAATGTGGTTTCTTTAATTATAATGCCATTATAATTTCAGGTCAATTAAGAATGGTGTGTAAATCATACAGCATTTACTAAAATCCTAACATGACTTGATTAAACTTTCTTTGTGTTCTTGGCACCCCTCACATTCATGATCAAAAGAATACAAAATCTCCCATGGCTTTGCTTCGTTCTATTTTCAGGTGATCTCTTCCAGTTTGTACACTTTTTCTGTATCTTCCTCATATAGAAAGTTTTTACGATTTTCCGTGATGTTACCTATTTTTAGTTTCTTAACTTCAACATCTTCCTCTCTGAATTCCTCCATTAATGAATACTGTCTATTCCTCAAGTTTAATTGCCTCTTATTATCATGAATAAGTTTCCTTGTTAATAACATATAGGCTGTGGAGGGCATTTCAAAAAATTGAAGTTAAAAACTGTCTTGGGCAATAAAAGCCAGTAGCTCTTAGAGGTGAACACGCTCAAAGACAGGACTTATTTCGGTATATAAATTTTTGTATACCTATAGAAACATCTCATTAATTTATTGTGTAGCTCATAAACACATTATTTTTATGTCATTCCCTTTTGTAATGAGAAATGATGAAAAATAGATTTTAGATTTCTGTTTTGTTCAGCAATACTTGTTCAGTACTGACCCCATACAAGTCACAGTGATAGGCCTTCTAGAAGTTGATGCAACTTTTTACATTATTGCAGCAGATAACAACTTTATTATATATGCAGAGTGTGCTAAAGATGCCTGTAAGGAAACACATATGATAACCATCACTAGGAAATGTACCTATTAAAATTTTTACTCCATCACCTCTTGGCCAGATTAAATTTCTCCTCACTAGAGATAGTAAAAAACTTAGTTGTATCGTGTGTATATTTTCATTGTTCAATTCTGAAAAAATCTATTTTATATACGGGGAATGCTTTTTATTAAGGGGGCTCAATTTCAGATTTCATCAGCACAGCTCTTTCAACAGTCTGTGTTAGCTGACTTTCTGAAAAAACGTTTCCAATAAGAGCCTCTCAAAATCTAGTAGCTTAATATTTTATTTCTAAACCTTTTATTAAAATTATATTGTAAAAATCTAACATCTCCCCAAAACCGTGCTCATTAACTCTGGGAATCTCTACTGTTCTAAGAAACAAACAAAAAAAAATTATAAGAAATAGTCCTATGTTACTTTGAAGAATCAGTAGTTGCATATCAAACTGATTTTATTTTAAAGCTGTTGTAGCAATATTAGATATAAAAACAATACAAATTATGATTATGAAACAATTTGTAGACTTCCCATTTTGTACCAGACAATGTACTCAAAAATTCATACATATTTTCTCAATATTCAGAACAGCCACAGTGAAGTAGTTACTATTATCCTGATTTTACAGATTAGAGAGATTAAGTAACTTCTCTAATGTAAGACAGATAATGAACAACAGAACTGGGGTTTAAACTTGAGGAAAATAAGTTTTAAGAAATCAGAAATTAAGTCTTTGGAGATAATTTTTCATGTTATAATGGAAATTATAAATGGAATAAACTGCAATAAACTATCATGGAATAAACTGACAAAATATTGCATACCTTACTGTAGATGTAATGGGCAATTGAATAATTATCACTTAGCTTCCTTTGCTTCCATCAGCTGTATAGGATTCCTTCCAGGTTTGATATAATTCTTAAAACATTGCTTCCTGTTATTGTATTTTAGAATATGTTCTTTCACTGTTTGAAATACTACATCATTTTAAGTTTTTCTCTCTTAAATCTTGTCTTCCACCCATGAAGTTATCTCCTTAACCAAAATAGAACATGATTCCTTGATTGAGATGAGAAAATTTTTTATTTCATTTTTGTTTAGATTCATGGGATATATGCGCAGGTTTGTTACATGGTTATATTGCGTGATGCTGAGGTTTATGGTACAATTGATCCCATCATCCAGGTAGTGGGCATACTACCCAATAGCTAGTTTTTCAACTCTTTCTCTATCTCCCTGCTTCTCTCCTTTAGTAATCTGAAGTGTCTTTTGTTGCCATCTTTATGTCCTTGAGTACCCAGTGTTTAGCTCCCACTTATAAGTAAGAAAATGCAGTTTTTGGTTTTCTGTTGCTGTGTTAATTCACTTAAGATAATGGCCTCCAGCTGGATCTGTGTTTCTGCAAAACTGAATAATTTGAAAGACATGATTTCATTATTTTCTATGGCTGCATAGTATTCTATGGTGTACATGTGCCACATTTTCTTTTTTAAAATTTTTATTTTAGGTTCAGGGGTACATGTGCAGGTTTGTTGTAGAAGTAAATTGTGTTTCATAGGAGTTTGGTTTACAGATTATTCCTCCACCCAGGTAATAAGCATAGTAATAGGTAATTTTTGATCCTCACCCTTCTCTCTCCTTCCACCTCAAGTAGACCTTAGTGTCTTTTGCTCCCTTCTTTGTGTCCAGATGTACTCAATGTTTAGCTCCTACTTGTAAGACCATGCTGTATTTGGTTTTCTGTTCCAGCATTAGTTGGCTTAGGATAATGGCCTCCAGCTCCATCCACATTGCTACAAAAGACATAGTAACATACTTTTTTATTGCAGCTTAGTGTTCTATAGCGTGTGTGTATCACATTTTCTTTACCCAGTCTACCATTCATGGGAATTTAGGTTGACTCCGTGTCTTTAATATTGTGAATATTGCTATGATGAATATACACATGCATGTGTTTTTATGGTAGAATGATTTAGATTCCCTGGAGTATATACCCAATAATGGGATTTCTAGGTCACATGGTAATTCTGCTTTGAGTTCTCTGAGAAATTGTCAAACAAGTTTTCACAATGCTGAACTAAGTTACATTCCCACTAGCAACATATAAGCCATCCCTTTTTCTGCAACCTCGCCAGCATGTTATTTTTTTGACATTTTATTAATTGCCATTTTGACTGTTGTCTTATTCTGCTTTTGATTTGCATTTCTCTAATGACTAGTAATATTGAACAGTTTAATATCCTTTTTGGCCACATATATGTCTTCTTTTGAAAAGTGTCTGTTTATGACCTTTGCCCACCTTTTAATGGGGTTGTTACTGCTTATTACTTTTTCAGTTTCTTATAGATTATTAGACCTTAGTCAGATGCATAGTTTGCAAATATTTTCTCCCATTCTCTGTGTTGTTTACTTTGTTGATAGTTTTTTTTTTTCCTGTGTAGAAGCTTAAGTTTAAGTAGATCTCATTTATAAATTTTTGCTTTTGTTGCAATTGATTTTGGGGGTCTTAGTCATGAACTCTTTCTCCATTCTTATGTTCAGCATGGTATTTCCTAGGTTATCTTCCAGGGTTTTAATAATTTTAGGTTTTGCATTTAAATCTTTGACCCATCTTGAGTTGCTTCTTGTATATTTTATAAGAAAGGGGTCCAGTTTTGACCTTCTGCATATGGCTAGCAGGTTATTCCAACATCATTTATTGAATAGGGAGACTTTCCCCGTCACTTATTTTTGTCTACTGTGTCAAAGAGCAGATGGTTGCAGGTGCATGGCATTATTTTTGGTCTCTCTATTTTCTTCTATTCATCTATGTGTGTGTATTTATAACAGTAGCATGCTGTTTTGAAGTTGGGTCACGTGATGCCTCCAGGTTTGTCCTCTTTACTTAGGATTGCCTTGGCTATTCAAGCTCTTTTTAGGTTTTATAAGAATTTTTAAATAGTGTTTTTGAATTCTGAGAAGAATGTAATTGAAAGTTTGATACAGACAGCAGTGAATCTGTAGATTGCTTTGGGCAGTTTGGCATTTTTAACAATCTTGATTATTCCTATAAGAGTGGAATATTTTTCTATTTGTCTTTTCTGATTTCTTAGAGCAGTGTTTTGTAGTTGCATTTTAGAGATCTTTCACCTCCCTGGTTAGCTGTATTCCTAGGTATTTTATTCCTTTTGTGGTCATAGTAAATGGATTTTTGCTCTTGTTTTGGCTCTCAGATTGGATCTTGTTGATGTATAGGAATGTTACTGATTTTTGAACATTTAATTTGTATCCTGAAACTTTGCTAACATTGTTTGTCAAAGGCTTTTGGTGGGGTCTTTAGGGCTTTATAGGTATAGAATCATTTTATCAGTGAAGATAGCTAGTTTTGACAACTTTTCCTGTCAGGATGCGTTTTTTATTTTTTTCTCTTGCCTGTTTGCTTTGGCCAGGATCTCCAATACTATGTTTAATAGGAATGGTGAAAATGGTCACTCTTTCCTCGTTCCAGTTCTCAAGGGGCATGCTTTCAATGTTTGCCTATTCAGTATGATGTTGACTGTGGGTTTGTCAGAGATGACTTATTATTTTGAAGTATGTTTCTTCAATGCCTAATTTCTTGAGAGTTTTTAATAGGAAGGGATGTTGAAATTTATCAAAAGCCTTTTCTGTATCTATTGAGATCAAATGGTTTTTGTTTTTAGTTCCTTTTTTGAGATGAATAATTTATTGATTTGCATATGTTGAACCCACCTTACTTGACTGTGGTGGGCTAGGTTTTTGATGTGCTGCTGGATATGGATATGGTTTGCTAGTATTTTGTTGAGAATTTTTGAATCTATGATTATTGAGGATATTGGCCTGAAGAGGGGTGTGTGTGTGTGTGTGTGTGTGTGTGTGTGTGTGTGTCTGTCTGTCTGTCTGTCTGTCTGCAAGGTTTTGGTATTAAGATGATGCTGGCCTCATGGAATGAGGTAGGAGGGAGTCCCTACAACTCAACCTTTTGGAGTAGTTTCATTGGAATGGTAGCAGCTCAGCAGCTCCTCTTTATACATCTGGCAGAATTAAGCTGTGAATCTGCCTGGTCCTGGGCATTCTCTGGTTGGTAGGCTTTTCTTACTGTTTCAAATGCAGAACTCTTTATTGTTCTGTTCAGGGATTCACTGTCTTCCTGATTCAGTCTTGGGTGGTTGTATGTTTCCAGGAACTTATCTGTTTCTTTTAGGTTTTGTAGCTTGTGTGCATGCAGGTGTTCATAGTAGTCTCTGAGAGTTTTTTGTATTTCTGTGAAGTCAGTGGTAACATCCCCTTTGGGATATCTGATAGTGTTTATTTGGATCTTCCCTCTTTTATTTTTTTGCCTGTATTAGTCTACTAGCAGTCTATCTATCTTATTAATTTTTTTTTTTTTCGACACAGTCTCACTCTGTCGCCCAGGCTGGAGTGCAGTGGCGCAATCTCGGCTCACTGCAACCTCTTCCTCCCAGGTTCACGCCATTCTCCTGCCTCAGCCTCCCGAGTAGCTGGGGCTACAGGCACCTGCCACCACGCCCAACTAATGTTTTGTATTTTTAGTAGAGACGGGGTTTCACCGTGTTAGCCAGGATGGTCTCCATCTCCTGACCTCGTGATCCACCTGCCTCGGCCTCCCAAAGTGCTGGGATTACAGGCGTGAGCCACTGTGCCCGGCTCTATCTTCTTAATTTTTTAAAATAATCAGCTTCTGGGTTTATTAATCTTCTGTATGGTTTTTCACATCTCAGTGTCCTTCATTTCAGCTCTGATTTTATTTCTTGTCTTCCGCTAGATTTGGGGGTGATTTGCTGTTGTACTTCTAGTTCCTCTAGTTGATAATTTGAGATCTTGCTAAATTTTTCAGGGATGTGTTTCATTTTTATAAGCTTCCCTCTTAACACTGCTTTGTATGTGTCCCAGAGATTATTGTATGCTATATTTTGTTTTTCATTACTTTCAAAAAATTCCTTGATTTCTGTCTTAATTTCATCATTTGCCCAGAAGTCGCTCAGGAGCAGCTGCTTAATTTTCATGTAATTTGATTGTTTGCATGATTCTCTTAGTATTGATTTCTATTTTTATTTAGCTGTGGTATAAGAGTGTGGTTGATTTCAATTTATAAAAAAATAATTTAGGATTGTTTATGAATTATTTTTGGTCCATTTTGGAGTGTGTGGCATGTGCACATGAGAAGAATACATAATCTATTGTTTTTGTATGGAGAGTTCTGTAGATGCCTATTAGTTCCATTAACTCAAGTGTTGAGTTCAGCTCCTGAATATCTTTGTTAGTTTTCTGCCTCGATGATCTGTCTAATACAGTCAGTGGTGTGTTGTAGTCTTCCATTATTATTATGTGGTTATCTGCATCTCTCCATAGGTCTCTAAGAGCTTGCTTTTGAATCTGGGTGCTCCTGTGCTGGGTACATAGATATTTAGGATAGATAGGTCTTTTTGTTGAATTGAACCATTTACTGTAAGGTAATGTCCTTCTTTGTCTTTTTTTTTTTTTTTAATCTTCGTAGGCTTACAGCCTTTTTTGTCTGAAATTAGAATAGCAATCATTGCTTTTTTTTCTGTTTTCCATTTTCTTGGTAGATTTTCCTCCATCCCTTTACTGTGAAAGTATGGGTGTCACTGCATGTGAGATGGGTCTTTTGAGACAGCATACTATTTGGTTTTCCTTGTTTATCCAACTTTCCATTCTGTGCCTTTTATTGGGGCATTTTGCCTGTTTACATTCATGATTAGTATTGATATGTGTGGATTTAATCCTGTCATCGTGTTTGTTAGCTGGGTTATTTTGCAAACTTGTTTATGTGGTTGCTTTATAGTGTCACTGGTCTGTATACTTAAGTGTGCTTTTGTTGTGGCTGTAATGGTCTTTCCTTTCCATATTTAGCACTCCTTCAGGATGTTTTGTAAGGCAGATCTTTTGGTAACAAATTTCCTTAGCATTTACTTATCTGTAAAGAATCTTATTTTTCCTTTGTTTATGATGCTTAGTTTGGCTGGATATGAACTTCTTGGTTGGAAATTATTTTCTTTAACCATGCTGAATATAGGCTCCCTATGTTTTCTGGCTTGTATGGTTTCTGTGGAAAGGCCCACTGTTAGCCTGGTGGGACTCCCTTTGTAGATGACCTATCCTTTCTTGCTAGCTCCACTTACCTTTTTTTCTTTCATTGAACTTTGGAGAATCTGATGACTATGTGTCTTTGAGATGGCTGTCCTGTATAATATCTTGCAGGGGTTCTCTGCATTTCCTGAATTTGAATGTTAGCCTCTATTGCAAGGTTAAGGAAATTTTAATGGAGGATATCCTCAAATATGTTTTTCAAGTTACTTGCTTTCTCTGTCTCTTTTTAAGGGATGCCAGTGAATCATAGATTTGCTTTCTATACATAATCCCATATTTCATGGAGGTATTGTTCATTCTTCTTCATTCTTTTTTCTTTATTTTTGTCTGACTACATTCTGTTAGAGTTGGTTTTTGAGCTGAGAGATTCTGCCCTCAGTTTGATCAGTTCTGCTGTTAACACTTGTGATTGTATTATGATATATTTGAAGTGAGTTTTTCAGCTCTAGCAGATCAGTTTGATTCTTAAAATGGCATTTTTGTCTTTTGTCTTCTGTATCATTTTATTGTATTCCTTAGAGTTTTTGGATTGGGTTTTGACTTTCTCCTGAATCTCAGTGATCTTTATTCCTATCCATATTCTGAATTGTTTTTCTGTCATTTCAGCCATTTCAGCCTGATTAAGAATCATTTTCTGGGGAACTAGCATGATCATTTGGATATAAGGAGAACTCTGCCTTAGTGAGTTGCCAGATATGTTGTGCTGGTTGTTTCTTATCTATGTGAGCTAATGTTCTTTCAATCGCTGAAGCTGTTATCCTTTAGATCTTTTTTTTTTTTTGTATTTATCTTCCTTGTGTTCTTTAAATCATAGACATTGTTACCCTTTGGATCTTTTTTTAAAAAAATTATCTTCTTTGGTGTCTTTGGGGCTTTGAGTGTGGTATTAGATGGATTCACTCAACTGTCTTCATTTCTGGTAGATTTTATGGGGTCTCAGACTCGGCTCAGGACTCCTGGGCTGCATGTTGTAACCCTGAGAGCAGTTATGAGGTCACTGACTTAGTTATCTGATCCATTGAGGTTAGGAACTTGCAGTTCTAAGGTATTTTTGGACCACCGATCACAACACTCTGTTGAATGTGCCAGCCAAAGTGCTTCATCAGGCAGTTTCAGTGGGATCTGTCCTCATTCCCACATGCCAGCAGCAATGCTAGAGGGTGGAGTGCATGTGCATTAGCTGGGGTGGGGCACTGGCAGGTGTGGGGTGTTGGCTTCTATACAGATGTTTGTAGCAGTGATGGTGGCAATGCAATGTGGGTGGGGGGCAGGGCCACTGGCATCTGTGCACTCAATCACACTGCTAGCAGTGTTGGCATGGGGACATGGTACTTGCAGGTACAGAGCTGGCAGTATTTGTGTGCACGTTCACTTCAGTAGCAATGGCAGTGCAGGGTTGGGGACAGGTCTGCTGGAATCTCTGGGCACATTTGCACCAGCAATGGTGGCACAGTCAGGGAGTGGCAGGGTGTGCTCCAGCCGGCACTCATAGCGTGGTGGAGTGCATACACACATGTACATCCATTGGGGAGGGGAGGTGATGTCCACCTGTATGCATGTGTGCTGGCAAAGTGATAGGGGGGTAGCCATAGGCAAGTGTATGCTGGCAAAGTTGCACAGGGAAGGATATGGTGGGGGGTAAGTGCGAGTGACCTGGTGCACTTCACAAATGGCTGCTCTGCTGGAGCTGTCCGATGGTCAGGTGCAGTCTGCCAGCATATGAGCTATGATACGGGCCCCCAGAAGGCACTCTGGCTGGGCATCTGAGGCTGCACTGTAAGCAGGCACAGCCAGACTGAAACTCCAGGTGAGGCCAGCAGACAGGGGGCTGCTCTGGTAGAACTGGTCCTATCTCGGGGCAGGATCAATCTGCTCTTTTCAGGTCCACTAGCTCTCCTAGGGCTCAAGTCTCCTAGGGAAACCCAGCAAGGCTTGGAGGATGGACATCCCTGGCTGAGCTTCACTGCAGACACTCCTGTGCCAAATCCTCTGGGTGCTACACTGGCTGGGTTTTTTTCCCCTACTACATCTCTAAGCAGCTCTCCCTGACAACTCAAGTGTCTCTGGAGGTCGTGTGGTCTTCTGCTGCCAGGATTCCAGGGGTCAGTTGTGAGGGCAGGCTGCTCCTCACCTGCTCAATTCACTCCATCCCTAGGAGTCTTTGGGTGCCAGGAATGAGTCCCAGGGCACCCTAGCTTCATGCAGGATTCCCCATGTCCTCCCTCTTCTGCCTGACATCTGTGTCCTGGGCCCTTGGTGGCAGATATCCCTCCTGGCTACATCTAGTCAGCCATCTTGACACTGTATCACATTTCTTAATGCAATCCACCATCGATGTGCAGTTAAGTTGATTCCACGCCTTTGCTATTCTGTGTACTACTGTGATGAACATAGGAGTGCAGGCGTAATTTTTGTAAAATGATCTATTTTCCTTTGGATATGTATCCAGTAATGGGACTGATAGGTGGAATGGTAGTTCTGGTTTAAGTTATTTGAGAAATCTCCAAACTGTTTTTCACGTTGGCTGAGCAAATTTACATACCTGCCAATAGTGTATAAGTGTTCCCTTTACACTGCAGCCTTGCCAGCAAACTTTAAGAAGCCAAAAAACGTTAAGAAATCACTTTTTTGAATCTGTAATAACTGCCATTCTGACTTGTGTGAGATGGTGTTTCACTGTGGTTTTGATTAGCATTTCTATGATGATGAATGATGTGAAGCATTTTTTCAGGCTTCTTGGCCACTTGTATGTCTTCTTTTGAGAAGTGTCTGTTCATGTCCTTTGCCCACTTTGTAATGGGCTTATTTGTTTTTTGCTTGTTAATCTGTTTTAAGTACTTAAAAATTTTAGATATTAGATCTTCATCAGGTGCATTTTTTTGTGAGTATTTTCTCCCGTTCTGCAGGTTGTTTACTCTGCTGGTTTATTTTGCTGTGAAGAATCGCTTTAGTTTAATTAGGTCCCACTTGTCAATTTTTGTGTGTGTTGGAATAGGATTTTTTAAAGTTAAAACGAATGACTTTTATTATAATTTATTATTTTGTCATTAATTTGTGAAATTATAAATTGTACCACAATAAAATAAAATCATTTAAAAATATAGCCTCTGCCTGTTTATCTTTTTTTAAAAAATATTTACTGAATTTTTATTTTACGTTCAAGGATACCTGTGCATGTTTGTTACATAGGAAAACTTGTGTCATGGAGGTTTGTTGTACAAATGATTTTGTCACTCATGTATTAAGCTTAGTACACATTAGTTATTTTTCCTGATCCTTTCCCTCCTCCTACCCTACCCCGTCTGATAGGCCCTAGTATATGTTTTTCCCTCAATGTGTCCATGTGTTCTCATCATTTGGATCCCACTTACAAGTTAGAAGATGCGGCATTTGGTTTTCTGTTCTTGCATTGGTTTGCTTAGGATAAGCAATCCATGTTCCTGCCCAATCCATGTTCCTGCAAAAGAAATGATCTCATTCTTTTCTATGGTAGAATTGCATTTAAGGACATAGTGATAAATTGTTCCTCAAGTCTACTGTCCAGAACAGTGTTTTCTTCTAGGATTCTTGTAATTTGGTGTTTTGCATTAAAATTTTTATCTATCTTGAATTAATTTTTATAAATGGTGAAAGATCAAGGGTCCAGGTCATTCTTCTGCGTACAGTTAGACAGCTATCCCAGCATCATTTTTTGAACAGGAGGTCCTTTTTCTACTGCTTGTTTTTGTTGACTTTGTTGAAGATTAGATGGCTATGGGTATTTGGTGTTATTTCTGGGCTCTCTATTCTGTTCCATTGATTTGTGTGTCTGTTTTTACATCAGTACCATGGAGCTGTTTTGAGTACTGTACCTTTATAGTTTGAAGTCAGGTATTGTGGTGCCTCCAGTTTTGTTCTTTTTGCTTGTGATTGCTTTGGCTATTTGAGCTCTTCTTTGGTTCTATATGAATTTTAAAATAATTTGTTCTAGCTCTGTGAAGAATGATGTTTGTACGTTCGTAGGAATAGCATTGAATTTGCAGCTTGCTCTGGGCAGTATGGCCATTTTAATGATACTGATTTTTCCGATTAATGAGCATGGAATGTTTTTCCATTTGTTTGTGTCATCTATGATTTCTCTTAGCAGCATTTGGTAGTTCTCTTTGTAGAGATCTTTTATCTCCTTGGTTAGAGATATTCCTAGGTATTTTATTTTTCATGTAGCTACTGTAGATGAGATTATGTTCTTGTTATGGTCTTAGCTTGACTGTTATTAGTATATAGAAATGTTACTGATTTTTGTACATTAATTTTGTACCTGAATCTTCACTAAGGTCATTTATCAGTTCCTGAAGCCTTGGGGTTTCTATGTATAGAATCATATTATTGGCAAAGAGAGGTAATGTCACTTCACCTTTTTCTATTTCAGTGCCTTTTATTTCTTCCTTCTGCTTGATTACTCTGGCTAGCACTTCCAGTATTATGTTAAATAGGAGTGGTGAGAATGGCGCATCCTTATTTTATCTCAGTTCTCAAGGGGAATGCTTCTAGTTTTTGGCTGTTCAGTATGGTGTTAGCTGTAGGTTTGTCATAAATGGCTTTTATTATCTTGATGTATGTTCATTCAATGCCTTGTTTCTGAGAGTTTTTATCATGAAGCAAGGCCGGATTTTATCAAATGCTCTTCCTTGTCTTTTGAGATCATCATGTCGTTTTTGTTTTTAATTCTGTTCATGTGGTGAACATTTACTGATTTGTGTAAGCTGAACCCACCTTGCATCCTAGGAATGAAGTCTACTTGATCATGAAGAATTAACTTTTTGATAAGCTGTAGGATTTGGTTTGCTAGTGTTTTGTTGAGGATTTTTGCATATATGTTTATCAGGGATATTGGCATGTAATTTTCTTTTTTTGTTGTGTTTTTGTCAGGCTTTGGTAACTTGGGTTGATGCTGCCTTTGTAGAATGAGTTAGGGAGAAGCCCCTCCTCTTGAATTTTTTGGAAAAAATTGGGTAGAATTGGTACCAGCTCTTCTTTGTATATCTTGTGGAATTTGGCTGTGAATCCATCTGCTCTGGGCTTATTTTGGTTGGTGGGTTTGCTATTACTAATTCCATGTCAGAAATTGATATTAGTCTGTTGAGGGTTTCCATTTCTCTCTGATTCAATTTTGAGATATTATGTGTTTTCCAGGAATTTATGCATTCCCTCTAGGTTTTCTAGTTCTTGTTATTCTAGTTCCTCTATCTGGTATGTTACATTGTTTCTGTTTTTTTCTAACTTTTTATGATAGATATTTAGTGTAATAAACTTTGTTTTTAACGCTGCTGTTTTTGCATCCCAGAGATTTTGGTATGTTGTGTCAGTGTTTTCATTTATTTCATAGAAGTTTTATATTTCTGCTTTAATTTCATTGTTTACTTAAAAGTCATTCAGGAGAAAATTGTCTAATACTTGGTTTTGAGAGGACTTCTTGGTATTGATTTCTATTTTTATTCTGTTCTCTGAGAATATGGTTGCTATAATTTCATTTAGTTAACTTACTGAGACTTGCATTATGACCCAGCATGTAGTTGATGTTGAAGTATGTTTCATGTGTAGATGTGAAGAATTTATACTCTGCGATTCATATGTGGAATATTCTGTAGATGTCAATTAGGTCCATTTGTTCAACTGTTAGGTCTGGGATTTCTTTGTTAGTTTTGGGCCTTGATGATCTGTCTGATGCTGTCAGTAGAGTGTTAAATTCCTCCACTATTATCATGTAGCTGCCTAAGTCTATCAGAGGTCTAAAAGTACTTCTTTTATGACTAAAAGTGCTCTAATGTTTGATGAATAGTTGAGTCTTCTTGTTAAATTGAACTTTTTATCATTATGTAATGCATTTCTTTGTCCCTTTTTTTACTGCTGTTGGTTTAAAGTATGTTTTTATGTAAAAATAATGTTTCTTTTTTATTTTCTAATTGTTTAACCGATCTTCCTTAAGTCTTTTACACTGAACCTGTGGGTGTTGTTTCATGTGGGATGGTTCTTTTGAAGACAGCTGGCAGATGGGTTGTCTTTTTTTATTTTATTCAAATTGCCACTCTGTTCCTTTTAAGTACAGCATTTAGACCTTCTGTCTTCAAGATTAATATTGATATGTGAAGTTTTGATACTGTCATGAAGTTGTTAACTGATAGTTTTGAAGGTTTTATTGTGTGGTTGCTTTATAGTTTCTGTGGGTTATGTACTTAAGTGTGCTTCTGCAGTAGCAAGTATGTTTTGTTTTGTTTTTCTCATTTCCGTGTTATTACTACCGTAAGAGCCTCTTACAAGGCTGGCCTAGTGCTAATGAATTCCCTTAGGGCTTGCTCGTCTGCAAAAGATTTTATTATGTTTCATGTATGAAGTTCAGTTTGGTGAGATATGAAATTCTTAGTTACAATTTTTATTCTTTAAGAATGCTGAAAATAGGCCTCCAGTCTCTCCTGGCTTGTAATGTTTCTGCTGAGAAGTCTGCAGTTAATCTGATGAGGTCCTCTTTGTATGTAATCTAACATGTTTCTCTAGCTGCCTTTAATTTTTTTCCTTAGCATTGACTTTGGACAGTGTGATTACTATATAGCTTGGAGATGTTCATTTTCTGTAGTATCTTGCAGTTGTTCTCTGGATTTCTTGTATGTGGATGTCTACCTTTCCAAGACTATTAGCAACATTTTCTTGAATTACTCTCTTAAATATGTTTTCCAGATAATTTACATTTTCTCCTTTTCTTTCAGGAATGCAAATAATTCATAAGTTTGGTTGCTTTATGTGATTCCATATTTCTTGACAACTTTTTTTAACTCTTTTTTAAATTTATGTTTTTGTCTCACTGGCTTATTTGAAAAGATCGGTTTAAGCTGTGAAATTCTTTCTTGTGCTTGGTGCAGTCTATTGATAAATATTTCAATTCTATTTTGAAATTCCTTAAGTAAGTTTCAATTCAAGAAGCTCTGATATTTTTTTAAAGATGTTTATCTCTTCCTTCTATTCCTGTATTGCTTTAGTAGTTTCTCTGTGTTGATTTTCAACCTTCTCTTTGGATATCTTTGGACTTTCTTGCAATCCATGCTTTGAAATTCTTACCTGTCCTTGGCATGTGAATGCCCCCAAAGCATTCATATTTTTTATGGTGCCAGAATTCTGGAGCTGATTCCTTCTCATCTGGAGATACTGGGATTTCTAATATTTGTAATTTGTGCATTAGGGTTTTCTCTTCGTTTTCCCACAATATTATTGTTTTGTTTTTAATTTTCCTTTTCTTGTTCTCCACCCAGGGTGTATGACTGTAGAGAATATTGAGTAGAATTTTTTGTCTGTTCTTCTATAGACCTATATTTTTCTGTCAACACGTTTTAAATTGGGCTGTTCAGTTTGACCTACAGGCCTGTAGTTTGTGCTATGGGTAAGAGACAGTTACAGCTAACATACTGGGTAGCTACTTGATCCTGGTTTATTAGGAGATTGTCTCTGCTGCCTCAGGGAATGAGCTGATTTGTGGAGTACACAGTTTTCTGAACTGCCTGATTAACTCTGGAGGGTAGGGGGAAAGATGTGCTTGTCCAAACCAGGAAGGCTCACCTACATGTCCCCTAATGGCAGGCAAGGGACTGCCATTAATAGTGCCGTTTGCAAGGGAGAAACCACTGGGTGGCCACCAAGTGCCCAGAGGTGTGCCTCAGCATGGAGCTGTGAAACCTTCTCAGTTCCATGTTCTATGTACAAGGTTGGAGTCGGGGGTTGGAAGGAAACCTAAACTCCTAATCTAGGAAAGTGACTGTTCAAGAGGCCTGGAGGTCTGCCTGTGCATTGACTGTAGAGGCCTTGCTGTGCCACAGTCTGCACAGGGATGACAGGGTGACTCAGCCTGCTTATCCAGGCAGATAGGTTCTGTGAATGCCTGGAGACCTACCTGGACATGCCATGCAGAGGGGTCCCCTGCACCGGGATCTCTTCACAAAAGAGATGGGGTGACTCAGGAAGCTGTTCCAGGTGAGTAGGTACTCCAAATGCTTGGAAATATGCCTGAATGTGGAGTGGAGAGGGCTCTAATGCAACACCATCTATGCACAGGAAAGGTGGCATGGCTCAGGCTGCCAATCCTGGTGAGCCGGTGTTTTGAACACCTGGAGACCTGCCTAGGCATGGAGTGGAGAGGGTCCTGCTGCACCACAGTCTGTGTTCAGGAAGGGTGTGGAGGCTCAAGCTGGTGATCCAGGTGAATGGATATTCCAAATGTCTGAAGATCTGCCTGGGCATAGAGCAAATAGTGCCCCCCTGCACCATGATCTGTGTCCAGAAAGGACGGGGTGGTTCAGGCTGTTGACCCAGGTGAGCAGCTGCTGAAAATGCATGGAGATCTTCCTGAGCATGGAGTAGAGAGGGCCCTGCTGCACCACGATCTCAAGGGAGTCAGTTGGAACACCCAGCAATGATACCCAGATGAGTTCCAGTTCACCGAGCTGGCCCTGGCTGCAGGTCTTGTTACCCTGGAGAAACCACAGCTGTAGTAGCTCTTCTCCCACCCTAGGCCTGTGATGAGGGACAGCATAATTCCAGTGCCTTTTCATAATTCTGACTGGAGGTCCTTACCCTACTTTAGAGCAGGTGACCCAAGCTCTGGCCCAGGACTAAAATGCCTGTGCAGCCACACTGCTGGGTCACTAAAGAATTACTGACTTTGTATGTGCCCAGATTAAAAATGGCATCCTGCTCTTGGTCCTGAGTTTGGGAAAATGCCCACAGTTTTTGCTGGTGTCTTTTCCTGACAGTGTCTACTGTTTTGGACAAGGGAGAACACTATGTTGCTCCTAGATCCTCTCCGTAAATTAGCTCTCTAAGTTAGCCCCAGGGCATAGGAGAAACAAAGTGCCCTCCCTTTTCCTGGGTTTCTTGGATTCCATTGGAAAGGTGAATCACAGAGGGTGGCTGTATGTTTCTCTCATGTGCTGGGGTTTCACTTACTTTTATGAGCTACGTCCCGTTACAGTGCTCTCTTCCCTGAGATCTGAGTTGTCCTTCACTTTTCTGGTGGATTTCTGTTTTCCTTCTTGAATTAAAGCTCACAGAATTGATCTTTACGAACTCTTGCTCTTTCCAAGTGGCTGAGACATCTTAAAATTCTCTAATCTACCATCTTGGGTTTTTAAAAATGAGATGAAAAACTATGAGTAAACTCTTAGTGGGGTCTTTAAAGTCTTTTTTGTTTGTTTGTTTTATAAAAATGTAATGACAGCACATGTCAGAAAATACTCAAGTACAAAATGCCCAAATCTTCTACTTTTTATACCAAAAGGCTGGTGGTTTTCAGTCAATATAGTTACAGTATACTGAATAAAAATAATTTATAAAATTAAATATGAATAATAATGTGTTTTACAATATGGTAGATACATTTATTTGGAAAAAGTTACTTGATAAGTTGATTAAAGGAAAGTCATTTACCAAATGTGTACCCTAGCTTGCAAAATGTGTTTCCTAGATTACTACTTACAGAGAAAACCTTAATGTCAACTCAGTCAGTTAACAAAAACATAATGTGATATTTAGGAATAGTGCAAGTTGTCTTTTAAAAAATTAGATTTTTAAACCATTTTACTCTTCAAAATTACTTTCTGAACTCTAACTTTATACTGAACATGTCAATCCCCTCAATTCTATTAGTTCACCTAAAGCCATGAGTCTACAATACGGTATAATTTTTGAGATAGAAAAAAAAAAACTCAGTAAAGTATGATATTACATTTAATTTTATTTTTATAATCTTATAAATACCTTCAAATATAATTCTTACATCTTTGCAAAGTAAAATTCTTTACATAAGCCCCTTAATCGTTAGCTAATATGGCAGAAACTCTTAATATGGAAGGAATAGAATATTTTAAAGATATAATAAAAATAAATGTATATACTAAATGTGTTTGAGTCTATGTTTATAGATAGAAGTACATCTTACAGAATATGGTAAAATGATTTATGAATTTTACTTTTTAAATAACTATTTTATATGTATATACATATAAAATATATACACATATATATTATACATATATATGAGAAAAACCACCAACATTACATTTTTATAAAATATTCAGTGCTTCATGATGGAACATATAACAGGATTAGAAAAATAGCAAGTTCAAAGGCTGAAAACAAAACATGGCCTCATCTATTTGAGAAACCATAGGTAACTGTTTATTGAGGAATTAAAGTCTGAGAGAAAACAGGAAATGGAATATATAAATTTCGACAAAGAGAGTCTTTCTCAGAAGAAAATTGTGCTTTGGTTTAAAGGTTTGAAAGAATAAGTGCAGTATTTTGGTCAGGCCTGTAACATGATCAGAAACATTACTTTCATGGAATTGTGGAGTATAGACTGGAAGGATCTGGGCAAAAATTAGGAAAACATAGTTAACTAGAGCAGTGCTAATGGGTATAGAGAAGATAGAACTTGGAACTTCTGGAGGTTGGGTTAAATTTACCAATGTCTGTGGAACATCCGGGTGTTTCACCTAGGCAATTACATAAAAAAGCCCGAAGGTCAGAGGAGAGATCTGAGCTATTTTTACAGAAAACCGAAACAATCAACCTATGTCTATAAACCTTTGTTTATATAGAGAAAAAAATTAGAAATATTGTTTGTCATCATGAAGGCAAACTAACTTGTTAATTGAACTATTTTCAGCTAGTTGTTTTGGCAGCTGTAGACACAGCCTTGCAATCACTACTCATTAGGGTATTGGAACTATAGCTCCCCACCCTCCAGGGGAAGTAGTGTGCTTTCATAAACCATGGTGACCAAGGAATGAACACTTTCAATATGATATAATTAAACATTACGGGAAAGAATGAATTAGGGTTCTTTGTGACATTTGGCTAAACATGCTAGCAAGCAAAAATACACAAATGAAGGTCACATTTGCAATTATTATACAAGTGTCTACATTTTAATTAGGTAGCTGATAAATGTCATTGAGCCTTAGCCACTGACCAACTGTCATTTTCTAAAAGGAGAGGAAAAATGTCACCTAAAAAGCCAGAATTTTTTGCATTGTCATGAAATTAAAAATTGTAACCACAGTACAGTGTGTTCAGCACTAAGCTGTTAAATGGGCTTAGGGACAATCTCAAAATGTAGTAAAGAAATATTTGGACAGCATGTGAGGTGTCACTAGTAATACACATTTTCAAGCATTGTTTCTTTAAAGCATTGTGTCTTTATTGTAAAACCACATAGAGCCACATTAGCCTTGAACGTCTCTTCTCAGAGAGTACAAGTGAACTTTTTTTTCTTTGCCTGCAGATTTGACTTAAATTCATTCCTTATTAATTTGGACTAAATATTCACTGACTTTCTCCCTCCAATGACAAACTAATCTTCTTAAGCTCACACAGTATTGTACCTGACCTAAGAATAAAATAAATTGGTATCTCATCTCTTAGATATTCTTTATTTTTTGGAATTTTACATAGTATTTACTTGAAAATTATTTGTCCTTATCCCCTAAAAAAATAAATGAAGTGTGTCAGCTAATATGAATCCCCCACTAAATTTACTTATAAAAGTGCCATGGAAGAAAGTAAATATATAAATACTATGTATGTGAGTGAGTGTGTGTGTGTATTGTCTTTAGAGTTATTCTGACTGATATTTCTGAATCCATTTTTTTTAACTTTTAATAAGAAAATTCAAAAGACAAAATAGGTCGTGTGCAGTGGCTCATGGCTGTAATCCTAGCACCCTGGGAGGCTGAGGTGGGCAGATCATGAGGTCAGGAGTTCAAGACCAGCTTGGCCAACATGGTGAAACCCTGTCTCTGCTAAAAATACGAAAATTAGTCAGGTGTGGTGGCGCGCACCTCTAATCCCAGCTACTTGGGAGGCTGAGGCAGGAGAATCCCTTGAACCTGGGAGGCAGAGGTGGCAGTGAGCCAAGATTGTGCTACTGCATTCCAGCCTGGGCGACAGAGCAAGACTCTTCCCCCACCCCCTGCAAAAAAAAAAAAAAATAGATACATTAGATACATAAATACATAAATAAATCAATCATAAAATGATCAATTAGTTCTTGCAAGATAACAATGTAAACCTTTTCTTCAGAGTATGCTATTATCAAATTGGAAGCAAAACACTACGGTAAATGAAATCCTTAATCATCAGTGTATAAAGTGCTTTTAAGAATCAAGGAAAACAAATCAGAACTCAATAGGATAAAAGAAAATATTTGATATATAATTTAATGATGAAATATGTATACATGGAAAAATATGTGTCTAATAAAGTGCAAATCTAATGAAATATGATTTCCACTATAATATTTGTAGAAAGTAAAAAAAAGATAATAGATCTTAGCCATCATCTAATAAAATGGTATGCAAAATAACATAAAGAAAATATTGCTCTTTTATGATGCTAACAGGAGTCTAAATATTAAGTCAAAAATTCTAGAAAACAGTTTTAGCAGTAGCTATTTTCACTTCAGAAATTCTGCTTCTCTGATATTCCTAGGAAATTACAGTAATAGTCACAAAGATTTATGTACAGGGGTATTCCTGTTTGGTTATATATGACAGATAAATTCATCTATAGGGATAGGGTTGAAGAAGTTTTAACAAAACACATAATTGAAATATATAATTAATTAAATGCTTCTGAAGGACATTTGTAACAGAGTTACATAATTATAATTTATATATATGTGTGTGTGTTTTAAGATGGAGCCTCACTCTGTTGCCCAGGCAGGAGTGCAGTGACCTGATCTTGGTTCACTGCAACCACCACCTCCCAGTTGAAGTAATTCTCCTGTCTCAGCCTCCTAAATAGCTGGTATTACAGGCATGCACTACCATGCCCAGCCACAATATAATATTAAATAAAAATTAGAAAATTACGTGTACAAACTGATTCCAGTTTTCTTCAAACAAAACAAAAAGTCTGCCTGTGTCTCTGTTGGCATATCTCTCCATAAATCAAATGAAGATAAATCCAAGTTTGTTTTTGCAGAGTATTCTGTTTCTGGATATCAAGATCAGAGATGATTTTGTTCTGTAGTGCGCATATATTTGTTTATAATGAGAATATTTAAAACTAGAATTCAGAGGACTCTTCAGGTACCACCGTTTTGGATCTGAACCCTGTAACTTATTCCCTAAGGGAAAGAATTAGGCGTAGGGACCTTCTGTGACCCTGAAGGCAACACCAAGAGAAATACATGTTAGCTGATTCTCATACCGATTTGGAAGGGTACTATACTGCTTTGAATTGAATTCATTTGTAAAACTTTTGACTTGAGAAGTAGTAGAATTTGTGATGCATACATAACTTAGCCAAGAAACAGCAGTTCCACAGCTGGAAGTTGCTTTCTGACATTAAGGTTTTGTTGAATATTGTGCAAATACTATGGATGAGGCAAATGTGTGGACACTGATGATGAGAGTGACATATTAAATCAGGCTGCAATATTTTAGCCCACTTGATGTCTTTGTTTCAATTTAAGTAACTGGACTTAAATGTGCTGTCAGTTGAGGCTACAAAAATCACAACCACAGCAGATGAGTGAATTTAAATGGACTTTTACAGGTATTTAATCTGTTAAATGAAAACTCACCTAACTTAGCTAAAAATGTCATTGGGAAATTTTCTTTTGATATCTTTTCTTTGAAGAAATTGCTGTTAGTTGCACAGTTTCCCATTTACTCCTGCATGTGCCTCAGTAACCTGTAATTCCTAGGGTCAAAGCTGTAGGTCTGCTTTTGAAGAAAAATTGCCATAGAAAAAAATCACTCGGGGACTTCAATAACTAACTCACCTTGCAGGGATTCCTAGGCAACTTTTTCACGTGCTGGGTAGCAAAATAAAAACCATAAACATATTTCCAATATCCATATTCCCATTTGTGAGAAATCGCCAAAGCTCGATTCAAATTTCACCTCTACTGCCAAGCACTTTTTCTTGGTATCAGCTGCTTCTTACTAGATGCTCCAACATGAGTTAGCTTGAACAGTAATCCTATTATGCACCTATTCCTCTCTCCCTTTTAAGATTGTGCCTTGTGACTTGAGCATCACAGTGAGCCTGTGATCACTGGAAAGACAGTAACGGACAGCTAAAGATTATAAGCATAGGGTTTTCTTTAATGGTAAAATATAAAGAAGTTTATTTGCTCAGAGCAGCTACACAAGCAGGAGCCAGTGTACCCACACAAGTAGGAAGACACAACTTCCTTTGTCCCTACCATCTTGTTTACAGACACACATCTGCCCAAGATAGTACCCATGTGGAGTGAGGACTCCCCCAGGCCCGGGAAAAATTTTTGTTTACTCTATGGGGGAGAATGATGTCAGACCCTCTTAATGCTATATGCTTCTATTAAGTGTAAAAATAAATTCACTTATAGCCCCAATTTGAAAACAACTAAGCCTTTTCGCTAAAACAAATTGTGAGTATAGTTTTATCTGAGTGGCTCTGTTGCTAAGTTTTGTTGAAATTCCATGATTATAAAGTGATCTCCTTGAGGTTTATTTTTTTTCTCTTAGTTTATAAGAACTCCTTGAAGGCAAAGATTGTATGTTTTATTATACTTTTTAAAAATTTCCATAGTTACCTTTTAATGTGGGATATATAATAATCATTTCACGTTAAATAAATTTTAAATCCTATATTGCATTATTTGTGTCTATGTCCAAAAATGTCATAATTATTTTTGGCCATCTAGGATTCCATTATATAATTAGCCATCTTGAATTCCATTCCTAAATCCAGAATTGAATGAGTACACCCACCTTTTACAGATTCTATGTTCTACACGGCACCATAGGAAACACTGAACTTGATACTGAACATAATGAAACACATGTTTATTTTTAATATAACTGCATATGTAAAAGCACAACTTGCCCACAGAATTGTTTCTAAAATTGGGAGGAAATACATTTTGTGTAATTATTTTCTAATTGCTAAGCAATGCTAGCTTTTTTTGATTTGTTATAAAATACTGTCTGATCTATCTTAAACACACAGAGAATAGGAAAGTAAAAGCTAATATAATCATTACAGTTAAAACTTTACTGAAATCTTTAATTATCCAAAACAAGAGGGAATTCTTTAATCACTAAATTAATTTGGTTATATTTCTCAACTAGCTCCTGCCTTTGCTAATTTCCTCAGTGATTCATATTCATATTGTGAGGGAAATATTAATTTAATGCAACCATATATTATGCTCTTGGTGATTTAAAAAGATAGCATCATAACACTATAGGTTTTTAAAAACTTAACAGCCATGAAAAAATACAAAACAAGAAAACTGTTAGAATCTCCTTTTTGGCAATAAAAGTCTATAATACCCAGTTTAATTTGTAACAATGTTCATGCTCTATCTGTGAATACAACTAAGAATTTACTATTTAGAAAAGACAAAGTTATCCAAATCTTACATAATTATGACTACAAATATTTACAGCATACCTGAGTATCAGTTGTAGAAATAATTTCAAATCACGCTTCTTTTCCCTTGTAAATATGTCTATTTTTTCAGTCTTATGCAAGGAATACCAGGAATGCAGTGCCGTTAACTTTTTTTCTTGTATCTTGGAACTATCAAAGTTTAAATGCCTGACTCCAGTGCTTTAAAAATCGTGTATTTCATCCTCTGCATATGCTTTTTGCTCTTGAAGCTACAACACTGTAAACTTTACACATAATACATTTCTTGGAGAAAGTGCTGAGTTGAGACATAGAGTACATCTGATTTGGGCTATTTCAAACTCTCATATGCCATAGATGCAGACAACCAAATTGAAATGATGCACATTATTTGTAAATTATTAACCATTTCTAAATATTCTCCACACGACTGGCTTTGCTGAGGTGTTTCATCCATCCTTGCAAGCTTCATAAAACAGTAGCAGGCCAAAATTGCAGAGTTAACATTAATTCTCATCAAAGAGAGGACAGCCTTAGCAATTACTTTGAAAAAGGTCAGGTATCAGATTTCTTTATGCTGACTTTGATGCCAAATGGAGTCACACTGCAGGCTTGGATATTGTATGTCTTCTGTTTTTTTCTGTATACTCTGTCATGAATACATAGTGCCACTCTTTGCTGTCTGACATATAAGTTGATGATGGAATATTCTCAAGAATATTATGCTCTCAAGAGCATCACACATCATTTGGTACTATAATTTATTTATATTTTTACACAAGAGCCTAAACAGACATTTAAAATCAAACTTCAAAAGTAGGGAATACATGATTTATATGAATATCTGTCATTTCATGACTTGTGGGTGTTGCTCACTCTTCTGTACCAGTAAAACTTAACAGCATTGTGTCGGGAGTCGATAGAAAAGATTCAGATACAGAGTCCAATAGTGATAATACAGTTTTATCAATCAATATTTTAGGAGCGGTAAATTTTCTTGTAAACATACCTCTCATATTTAGGGACGGAAATAGAATTCTGAAGTTTTATTGGTGTCAGAAAATTCAGGAATATTTTGATGATAGCAAGTGATTAAATACTTTAAAATATATTTTTATCATATTGACATTTTATTTTATCTTCTTCATAAATATTGCCATAAAGAATTTTAGTTCTGCATATTCTAATCCATTATTTTGTTAATATTTTATTTATAATATTTATATTTTAATATTATAACTATTATATTTATAATATTAATATTTTGTTAATATTATTTACATTGGATGGCAATGTTATGATCTCTAAAATGACCTTTTATTTAATGGAAAAGAATGCTATTAGTTCCAAGGACTGAAAGTGGTGGCAATGTCATTCTGACTTAATGGAGTACAGTTTTATTAAATAATGCAAGTTCAGTTGTCCCAGGGTCATTATATTAGGAAATATTTAATGAAGGTATTAATATTTACTCCTACCCAACCTCCAGCTGGAATTTCATGGTGTGAGAGCACCAGGTTAATTGAGTTTTATCACAAAATCTCTGGGCCACTTTAGAAATAACTTTAACACATGCTCCCTAAGGTCTAACCTACAAAAAGTGAGAAAATAGAAAAAGAAATGATTAACATGTAACTAGATTTAGCTGACATCTTCAGCATAGTTATTTATTAAAAGACTGAGCAACTGATGAAAATTTTTCTCTGAAAAGAAAAAGGTATGGGTTTGAGGAGAGTGGGTAAGATGCTAATTATCCGTCCTGTATGATGGGAGAATAAATGGACCAGGAAAGTGAAGTAGTATTTCTTGGAAACTCAAAAGGCCTACTGGAAGTCAGTTATCACACACTGAGTTCTTCCTTTCAAACCCTGAACAGGAATATGGAGAAAAGATGGGTACATGTTGCTCTAGCCAATAGAATCACAAGAATATATACTTGTGGAGTTTTCTGTAGATATATAGAGTCTATTCATATCCAAAACTTTTCTTTTAGAATTTGTTTTTGGGAATACACCTGTTAGGAAAATAAAAAATGTAATCATTTCCTTTCTGCTCTTCACTTTTTCAGTTCCTCAGGGTAAAATGAATATGACAATTCGGTATTCATATTCTCATTTTGTGACCCAGTCAAAGCTGGAAAGGGTAAACTCAGTATTCAGTTATACCCACAAGAGTGGTACAGGATAATAACTAAACTCTAGATAATAATAACAAAAAATAATATAGAAAATGTATTGAGTTCTTACTATCAGGCAAGCATAGTTTCAACTGTTTTCTGTATATTACTTTATTTGATCTTTACAACAATCTATGAGGGAATTCCTGTTGTTATCCTCAATCTAAAGTCAAGGAAGCTAAATCACAGAGCTATTCCTCTCTTGCTCAAAGGCACAGAGATATTACGATGTGGAATCTAGATTTGAATTCATGCCATCTGACTTTGGAACCTCTATTGCAAACAGATTTACTGACAGAGCTAATCTCACCCAAAAATTTCATTCAGTAAAATGCGTGGCCAAGATGGAGGAGGAGGATATATGCATCGTAGCCAAGCGTGGAGCTTTTATTCCCAGGAACTGAGCGATGATGGCGGTACTGTAAGAATACAAGATGTTGGCAAGTTTTCATTCAAAGGCACTCTGCTTTTTTTTTCTCCTTTATGTTTATTACATGTATTATAGTTCTTGGTTTTATAAATTTTTAGAATAATTTTGTTTGTTTAATGTTCCTCTACTAATATTTTACCAACTGGTAAAATCTTACCAATTTACCAATTGGTAAAATCCTCCACCAATACTCCCAGATTGTAAATTCCACAAGTCAGGTATCATTTGTGGTTTATTCATGGCCATATCACCTGTTCCTAACCCATCGTAGGCATTCATTAAAAAGTTATTGAAAAAATATCAGTGAAGGTTGAATGAGAAAACTTGGAAAAAAGAATGTTAGAGGTTGCTGAAAGAATGCGAGGGATTATGTGTACAAGGAGTCTGGTCCAGACCCCATCAGAGCATCACTCAATATTTCTATTTCACTGAGCCTCTGAATTCTGAGCCTAAAATTTAGATCAAACCTACTCTGCTATTTCTTTAAGTGACAGCTCTTGGGGTGATGAATAAAAACAGTTTCTGAATCCTGAGTATGATTTACCAAATGGTCTATCTTAGAAGACACCTTTCCATGACAGAAGTGTGGAAATTGTTAGGATCTGAAGCAAAACCACAAAAAGAGAGTAGAGAGGTTTTTGTTTTGTTTTGTTTTGTTTTACTAAAAGTAGGAGTTTAAAAGAGCATAGGAAAATATTGGAATATCAAAGACAGAAGTGAGTTCAAGTAACTGAGACTAAAGATGAAATTCCTCTGGGAGGGAGTTGATCATTTAAAGGGTACTTTAGATAGAGAAAAATGTTTCCTAGGGTGTGCCAACATTGAGGAGACAAAGAACTAGAAAAGGAGATAAAAAGTTTCCAGTGAAATAGGGATAAAGACATAAGGTTGTGGTATCTTGGAATTACATAAAGACAATATTCAAAGGAAAAAGAAATAACTGTGTCATACACTCCTAATAGGTTTAATGTAGCAAAAAATGGTCCTTAAACTTAGCAATATCTTGGTAATTTTTATCTTTAAAGAGAGACATTGTGGAATGATATAAGCAAGAGATCTTATAAAAGTTCAAGGGAAGAAGGGGGGATAATAATTGAATACTTTTACCATATACAGCACTTCTAAGGAGTCTTGTTGTAATAAAAATTAGGTGAGAGAAATGATAAGGTCATGATAATTTTATTTAAAAGAGAACTTTTTATATAGTTATGAGAACATTCTAACAAGCATACAAAAAATTGATGCTGAAAGAGAGACAGAAGGAATCATCTGGAGAGATGTCCTTGAACAGTGAAGATGGAATGGAATTCAACATACACAAATACAGGGATTGGCCTTTAAGAGATGTACAGACATCATTCATGTGACTCAGCTCATATTAATGAAACAAGGCTGAGTGTATGCGTGTACAGGCAGATGGTGGGAGCATGTGAGGGACTGTCTCTTCTGATTGCCTCTATTTTCTTAATAAAATAGAAAGCAGCACCATCAAGAAGGTCAGAAAGGTATGGGTTTGAGGAGAGAGGCTAAGATGTTAATTATCCATCCTGTATTATGGGAGAGTAAATGGACCAGGAAAATGAAGTAGTGTTTCTTGGAATCTCACAAAGCCCACTGGAAGTCAGTTATCACACATTGAGTTCTTTCAGCATGATACTGTATTCTTTGGCTACAGAGTGTGTCGACAGTTGGACTTAAATTAGCAGGGGAGAGAGTTAGCCTGGGAAAAAAACAGTCCAGGGTGAAGAGCAGTGTGCCTGAAGGTGCATTGAAGGAATTGAGTAAGGTTACGAATTATGAACTTTAACCTGGAAATGGAGGGAGTTGAGGAAATGAGAGCAGGGTGAAAGAGAGTGAAAGAGTGTTAGGATCAGTAGATTGTAGGTCTTGAAGTAGTTGAGATGCCAAACAGAAAGAGATGAAATTATGTATTAGTCTGTCTCCACCCTGCTATAGAGAACGTCTCCAAACTGAGTGATTATAAGGGAGAGATTTAATTGACTCACAGCTCCATGTGGCTAGCGTGGCCTCAGGAAACTTACAATCATGATGGAAGGCAAAGGGGAGGCAGGCACCTTCTTCACAAGGTGGCAGTAGAGAGAATTGACTGAAGGTGGATCTTGACAAACACTTATAAAACCATCAGCTCTCATGAGAACTCACTATCACAAGAACAGCACGGGGGAAACTGCCCCCCTGACTCATTTACCTCCGTTTGGTTTCTGCCTTCACACCTGGGGATTATGAGGATTACGGAGATTATAATTCAAGATGGGATTTGGGTGGGGACACAAAGTCTAACCATATTAAATAATATAAGATGTACAGAAAAACACACTTAAATGTAGCAAGGGGATGCAGCTATATTCCACCCTCAACAGATTTCTGCATTTGTTAATTTAATTTAGTCTCACAAAGTTGAGCGTTAGATAAAGTCCTATCAATGAAACAACATTTCCCACTTATTTATGCTAATATATTTTCAGAGATGAGAATCCTCAGAACTAAGACTGAGGAGTGGGGAAACTCTGAGGATATGTCATAGAAAAGGGCTGGGCAGCTAAGAGGGCACCAAGTTGGAGAGTTAAAAATATCCCTGAGAGAGGAGGAGACCCCACAATACTGTAAATCAGTTGCACTAAGACCATACGACTGATGAAAGCCACTTTCTAAGGACTGGGCTTATTTGTCAAATAGAATGGAAATGGTAATGCAGGGGGTTCCAGACCATGTCCAGATCTTGAAAAGGCCTCTTCATCCCTTATGTCTGAACTCACTTTTACTGAAATCTGTGTGCAGTGCCCTGTGTGGAGCAGGCAGGAAGCTATGATACTGCTGTGTGCACACCCTCTGCAGGACCATCTTCTCCACACCTAATCCACTTGAATTGATTTAACAAAAGTGGGTCTCTGTTGAGGATGAAACATAACTGAATCCACTTTCTCTGTTGAAATTCAAGTATTGGCATTTCTGTCTATTTCATCTTATTATTCCATCTCTTTTTGTCTAGGATCCCAACTCCTTCAATACTTAAAATAGACTGATTTTAACACCCTTTCAGTTTCTGCACCTTGCATCTATTTCTTCAATTCCCTCCCTCACCGGGTTAGAGTCCGTGGTCCATAACATTATTCACTTCCTTCAGTGAGCCTTCAACTACACTGCCCTTCACCATCAATTATTTTAACAGACTAACCTCTCTAACCCCCAATTTAAATTCAACTATTAATAGACTATAGCTAGAGAACACTGATCTTCAAAACTATTGAATGCTTCCTTGTCTGTATTGAAAGACTTTCGCTTCCTTTCACTTTGTGACATTCCACTTTCCTACTTTTTTCCTTCCCTTTCCAGATTCGAGTAGCTCTGCTTTTCTTCAAAAAAAATGCTAATGTTGGTCAAAATTCCATTTTCAACACCCTATTTCTTATTTCACATACTTCCTTGGCAAGCTTGTCTATTCTCAGTTTCAATAACCATCTATTTGGTTACCATTTCATAATCTCTCTGACGAACCTGCGTCTTCCTTACGTCTGCAGAATCTTAACATCAACATGAATGTCCTGGAGGCACCATAGGCTCTCCATGTGTCTAAAACTGAATTCATGAGCCTTTACCTCAAGCTCTTGCCTTTTCCTTCATTCTTACCTATCTTCTAGTGGAGGCAACCTTGCCTGATTTTTCACTTTTCTTTAGTGCCTCCAATCAAATAAACCAATAATCTTATTTACTATTCCCATACGTATTATCTCCCCATTTCTGACCAATCTTTGCCTATATTACAGCTTTAGACCCTTGAGTCATCTTTATTTGGTCTTGTTCAAATATGGCACTACAGCCAGAGTGATCTAGAACTTACGTTGCTCTCCTTTCAAAGCTGTACCAGTTTAACATGACATGCTAGACGTTTCATCATCGGCACCTTGTTTACTTATTCAGCCTTACATGTCCTCCCACCTCTCTCCCTCATAATACCCTGCGCTCCTATTTTAATCCACCAAGCAGGCCATGGTGCCTTTACTTTCAAGGTTTTTATATATTTTCTTCCCTGTCTAGAGTATCTTTCTTTCCCTACTGAAGACTTGACTGAGCTAATCACTAATGAACTTTCAGGACTCAGTTTAGATAGAATATCCACTGGAAAGCATTTTCTGATGACTTAAAGCTGAATGAGAGTTTTCTCTACCCATGCGGGGAGCCCATAGGTCCTTGAATTTACTTTTATATCACATGATACTAACATTGTATGAATACTGCCTTTTTTCCCCACTAGATCGTAGCTCCTTGAGGGCTAGGGCAGGATTATTCACTTTTGTTTCCCTAGCATTTGGCACCTACTAAGTTGTTATCACATGTTTGTTGAATGAATGCTTGAATGAATGAATGAATCAATTGCCACATTTCTAGTAACAGCTTTGCGTTCACATTAATTGATGAAAAGGGAATCTTTACTGCAACAGATAAAACTGATTACATAACAAAGGAAGACCTGGCGTAGTGCGCTTAGCCAAATTAGCATTTGGCTCATCTCTGTATGGAGTGGCACAAGCCCATTTGTGTACCACTTAGTATTTGGTTAAAATATGTATAAGATTTATAGCCACAATGATGTTCCTGGCCTTTTTAAACCTTACTATGGCCTTTCTACTTTTCAAGTTTTTCATTGATTATTCTTATCTGGCTTTAAGAACTATAAACCACATTATCATACTTCACTGTAATTGTTAATACTAGTCTGGGATAGTTTTTTTTTTTTTTTTTTTTTTTTCCTTTATAAATGAGCAGGGCAGAGAGTTAAAACACAAAGCAATAGATTGCACTGAGAAATGAATACGTTCAGAAACTACAACTACAAACTACCTTAAAGGAAAACTCATTCACTTTTCATTACCTTACACCTCTAGGTGCCAAAACTTGCATTTAATTCCATGTTTTAAAGGAGACTTTATGTCTACCCATAATCTGTTCACATATAGTTTGCCCAAGGGAGGTTAACTCTTTTCAGTTAAAATTGATCCACCTTCATCAGACTTGTGGTTGACCAGCAAAGAGTCAAGGACATGAATCTCTTAACACCTCCTGATGGTCTTGGGCTACACATATCATGCTCATTTTAAGTGTGGAAAACATCTAAAAATATACTTTTTAGAGTTTCAGAGAAATCATATTTACAGCTTCACAGAACAGAAAATATTAAACTTAATTTGATGCTTAACACCTAAAGTGTTATTTTCAAATCATAGAAAAATGCTTTTTGCATTCTAAAATATCTCTGTAAGACAGCATAATTATTCTAAATAATTTTAATTAATTATGAGAAAGCTTACTTACAGTGATACTTTTTTTAATCAAAAATTTAGTTAGCAATGATTATTAAGTTTAAAGGCCAGATACTCTGAACAAAACTACCTTTTTTTTTTTTGAGACAGGGTCTTGCCCTGTTGCCAGTCTGGAGTACAGTGGCATGATCGCAGCTCACTACAGCCTAAACCTCCCAGGCTCAAGCAATCCTCCCAGCTCAGCTTCCCCAGTAACTGGAGCTACAGGCATGTGCCACCACATGTGGCTAACTTTTTGTACTTTTTGTGTAGATGGGGTCTCACTTTATTGCTTTTGCTGGTTTTAAACACCTAGCTGAAGTCATTCTCCCACCTCGGCTTCCCTGAGTGCTGGGATTAAAGGCATGAGCCGACGTGCCTGGCCACAAACTGCCAGAGTCTTAGAAGTATTTCCAAGATCAGCAAATTGTCCAGCTTAATTGATACTGTACATATAAAAAATTTCCAATTCCTTATTTCTCTTTAGAGTTCATCATAATTAGTTTGTATTTTTAAAAATTTGATCCATATACTAAACTTATTGTTTCTTATGGACATAAAGGAAAGTTAGTTCAATCCATTTTAGGCAGGATGCTCAACCTTTCTAACCAAACACCTTAGGAATTAAAATATGAAATTTATCAATAATCAATAAAAATGAAAATTTCATCATTGTTTCCCCACTTAATAGTATTAATCTGTACACATTAGATAATAAAACCTAGAAAATAAATTTCATTCATTTTTTTATGTACCAGAGTGAATTTGACTACTTTTCAAGAACATGAGGTATTACTTAGAGCCTAGTTAAAACACATGTGCTACATTGAACACACCTCATACTACATAATAAATTTTAGTAAATGAAGTTCCTATCTATGTTTGTAGAATATAAGTGAAATGTTGGTTTCCTCACTGCATTTTAATAATAAGGAAAGAACTGATCTATGTGAATGGGTATTGTAATATTAAGGTAAACTTTTAAAAGTTAATTTACAAATTTTCCTGACAAAGTATAAAGCTTGGGCTTTTGACTGTCTTCCCTTCTTTCCTACTTACCTCTCTCTCTCTACTTGCTTTCTTCCTTCCCTTCTGCCATCATTTTTCCTTTTCCCTCTCCTCTCCTCCCCTTCCCTCCCCTCTCCTCCCCTCCCCTCCCCTCCCCTCCTTTCCTTAATATTATAGCTAGTAGAATTTTCAGAAAATATTAAAAAATATAAAAGTAACATTTTTTCACACTCTCACTGTAATCTGAATTTGCTTGCAGCTCCAAAGAAGGTTTTTAGTAATGTCTTCAAAGAAACAATCTTCATAAGAAAAAAATAAACTAGTTTCCTCAAAATTCAGATTTTATTATATTTTTTCTCTTACAGAGTATTCAAAATCTCTTCCTGGTCTCTCCACTTCATATGCTGCTTTGTTAAGAATTAAGAAGAGTTCATCTTCATCTCTCTTTGGTTCCAAAACCAGACCACGATACAGCAGCCCTTCATTAGGAACACTGAGTGCTTCTTCACCCAGCTGGCTAGGGGCAGCTCAGAATTATTATTCCCCCATCAATCTTTATCATTCCTCAGATGCCTTCAAACAAGATGGTAAGTGTCAAAGGAAAATGGCTCCAGATAGAATAAAGGAGGCAAAGAAGACTTATTTAATACTGTTGCAACAGAGATCAAGACTATTCCAGTAGGAGAGAGTGATTGAACTCAACTCTGCTAAAAATGAAAGCAGGAGAGTTTTTAAAGCTGGGGTGAGCTAGTAGAAAACTGGAGGATGTTAGGGGAGATACTGGTAAATGTGACTAGGCCATCTGTGTTTATTGATTGGTGCTTGTTGAAGTTAGGCTACTACCTTTTCATAGAGACTGGGAGATAGAGAACCTGTTTCTTGATGGTTTCATTTCAAATGGAGAGCTCCCAGGCCTTGAGACAGACACTACTGGGTTATAAAAATGACAAGAGCCTGTGTTGGTTGTAAGTTAGTCTTCTTTTCTAAACATCTTTAAAGGATTTGTATGCATTATTATGTAATTGCACTCTATACCAATTATAATTTAGGATTAAGACTAAATACTCTCGTAGAATGAAAGTAAAAATAGACATTTTTGGAAGGCCAATTTGACAGTGAATATCGGAAACATAAAACAGACCTATCCTTCAATCCAGTGGTTTTATTTCTGGAAGTGTATTCTGTGTAAGAAAATAATAAAGAGAGCACGCAAAGATAAGTATATACTTAGCATTACTTATGAATGGAAAATAAGAAAAAATCTATATATCCAACACTAAGATATCAGTTAAATTAAAGACTGCTCTACAGCTATTGGCTTTATAGTTTGAATAACATTTTCTAGATGTTGTCTACCTTTGTCATTTTTGGATCCATCGACAAAATAATGCCTGGTTCATTAACAGCAGGATGAACGGCACCTGTTATTACTAGTCTCTATCCAGTCTATTTTATATAGATATGCCATTCAGTTTTCTCAACACATATGTGAAGTAGATATTGTTACTGCCTTCTATAGAAATGAAAACTCTGGGACAGATAAGTATTTTTCACAAGGTCACACTGCTAATAGGTATCATAGCTAATTTTCATTCACATCAACAATGATTTTAAGACTAGTACACTTAGGCTGCATTTCATTTATGACTGATGAAAGAATAAACATTCAAAGATACATCTCGAAGGAACTAAGATATTGGAAAGATTCTGGGAATGTCAATTATTAGGTTGTGGTGCCAGGTGCAGGCAAACTTATCCTTTGTGATTATACCAATTGTTGCCATGTGCAGCATTGTCTCGTAGTGTTGGCATCTAAGTTGTATGTAAGCATGATGTTAGAACTCCAGAAATGTTTTATTTTCCAAAGTACTTACATTTAATATAAGTTTTTAACTTTCTATTACCTTAAGCCTAATATGAAACATATTTTCTTTAGGCATTATTATCTTGTGGAGTGGCATTAAGGTAGAAAATCAAGTGATCAGAACTGTGATCTACTTGTATAGTCGGTATAATTTTCAGCCAACTAGTGTTCTGCCTCTTTGTTCTCTTGTATCAAATGGAAGTTAAGGTAGTCACAATGGTCAATATAAGTATGAATTCAAATCCATGAAAATGATGAGAACAATAAATATTGGGACATAAGATGGAGCCAGCTGTGACAACAATTCAAGGTGTCTACTATTAATGCTTGTACACCTACTGTGAGCTGATCCTATTTTGGGTAATTAGCAGACAGAAAAGAAAGAAAATCTGGTCAGTTACATATTTCACAGTATTTCAAATATTAAAATAGAATTGTTATTCAGTAAAAGCACAACTCTCTGACACTTTGATTAGACAATTTTTTTTTTCTGGAAGATCATCATTAGGAGTTTATTATTCGATATAATGGCAAGTGACCTGAACATTACTTTTACTGTACCCATAATAATGAGTTTCATCTGTTTCAATAAAGGCAGATGAAACCCAAACAGAAACAACAAAATGAGAAGTAGTAATTCTCTAAAACTGTGCTCCTCAATCTTTACAGATAAAACCCTCATTAAAATAAGACCCCCCTTCAAAGATTGAGGTAGGGCAAGAGAATACCACTTACAAAAAGCTCCCAGGTGATGGTGATGGTGCTGATCTGTGGATGATACTTACTGAGTGGCAAGGCTCTAGGCTGGTAACCAATTTAATATCATTTGGTCCTCTGCTAATCTAGTTTAATCCATATTTTAGAGTATAAGGAAGAATGGATAATCTGAGTATTTTCCAAGTAATCTTCCATAACTACTGTTTTCTCTTCTGAGCATTTTATAAATCTTAGCTAGATGTGACTTTGAGTTCTTTTTCTCTGACAAGAGTCTGACGTATGGCTTTTGTCAGGTAATTCCCTTTAGCCTTAATAGAGAGTAAAGCTGAGGTTGACATGCTCTTACGAAAAATGAGAAAAGTAACAGAGCCTGAATAGAAAGTCATCCCACTCCTGTTCAGAGTTAAGCCAAGAAGTACCCCAGACAGAGCAAAGATTTTTATGAAAAATATAAAGACTCAGCTTACAGAGCAATTTGGGGAAGCAATTCTACTTCCGGATATACAACTTGGAGAAACCTTCCCATACAAGTACGAGGAAATAAAACGCATCTTCACCACAATATGTTTAAGAGTAAAGGTTGGAAACAGATGTCCATCAGAAGGGGAATGGATACGTTGTATTATTTTTATTTAATGGAGAACTAAAACTGTTAAAGTGAATAGAAAGAAAATGGATAGACCTCAAAATAGAGAGTGAACATGGTAAGTTATGGAGTATTATATATAATATGATATCACTTATGTAAAACAATGGAAAAATATATCCTATTTATGGATACACATAAGTGGTATAATTTTAAAACATGAACTTGAGATAGCAGGTTGACTGCAGTGCTTACCACTGCGGACAAAGGGAGAATGAGAGCAGGAAATAAGTACCAGGAGAGGGTATATACATTATCTCAACTTACTGATACTTTATTTCTTGAAAGAAAAAATCTGAAATAAATATAACTCCTGTAGTGACTAGACACTAAAATGTCTCACAGTAATTCTCACTTGGCATTTACAATGTAATCTCTCACTTTATCTGTTGGCTATGGCTATTAACTTGCCTCTGGAGAATAGATTATAAATAAAGTAATGGGATATGACTCCCAACAATGGGTTACAAAAGCCACTGGCTTCCATCTTGTTTGTCTTTTTTGCTTTCTGGCTTGCTCATATTAATGGAAGTCAGCTCGTGCTGAGAGCTGTCCTATTGACAGGCCCACTGGGAGTGGCCTCTGGCCAACAGCCCAAGAGTAAGTGAAGGACTCAGTTCAACACCCCTAAGGAATTTGAATCCTATGAGTAGTCACGTGAGTGAGTTTACACGTGTATCCGTACCTATTCGAACATTGGGATGAGACAGCCTCCCACCTTTTGAAAGACACAGAGCAAGGGTTGAGCCACACCTGCTTCCCTGACCCACGAAGGCTGTGAGGTAATAAACACATAATCTTTGTTCATTTTCTGGGTTTCCTTTCTACTATTTTAACTGTAATTCTATATTTCTGCAGAAAATCATTCTCATAGTTTCATAGCTTTAAAGTTTCCTTTATATGTTTCATCTATTTTAAGTTGCTGTGTCATCTTGTGATTATCTCAACAGGTTGGTATTCTTTTCTAGGAAGCCAGTTCCTACATTCAGCCCAGATTTGTTTATTCAGGTCTTGATTATGCATTCTTCTTTGTTCTCCTTTATATTTTCTACAAGGCCTACTTTTTAGTCCTGTTTGTTATATAAACAGATGCTACAGAGAAAATCTGAAAAAAAAAGGCAAATGCTGCAATTAGAAGAGATATAATTCCAATTGTCCTACTATTTTAAGTGCTCATAGTTTATATTAAATGTATTATTCTTTATTCATTACATTAGAAATTGTCAAATATTGAAAACATAAAGGAAATAATAATTTCATGAAAGTGTCTTGTGACTATATATTAAGTTTATTAAACTTTAATATTTTTCCAAATTTGTTTCAGTATTTTTTGACATAAAATTAAATTTGAGAGTTCTTGAGTATTTTGCTTGGATTGTGTCTCACACTTTCTCCACTCTTAGAGGAATTACTATACTTATTTTGTCATTTACATGCATATATTTATATTTCTATATGTGTGAAGCCTATAAAGTACATGTACTGTTCTTTAAAATTTTTGTGTCAATGATACTGTGTATATCAGTCATGATCCACCTTTTCTGGATCAACATTATATCCTAGAGATTCATGTATCTTGGTATCTTCAGTTCTAAGTTCATTTCATTTCCTGTAAAGCATACCACACTAGGACTCAATTACAGTTTCTTTATTCATTCCCTTTTTGTAAATATTTAGGTTGTTTTAATTTTACATTGTTACATGTCAAATGGATTTTTTCATGCCTCATTGGTAATTGTATTATAAGTATTTTAGGAGTGCAATTTTTATATAAAAGCATTGTAACATTTCCAGATACTGTCAAATTGCTTTCCAAAGTGATTGACACTTCTACCAACATTATTGTATAGGTGTTCGTATTTCTCCACATTGTCACCAACATAAAATTTTTTTGGCAATCTCTTGAGTATAGTATACCATTTTATTGTGGTTTAGTTTGCATTTTCTTGACTAGTGAGGTTGAAATTTCATGTAAATATTGGACATTCTGGTTTTTTCTAATGCATATTTCTTATTCATATATGTTGACTGTTATTTCTGTTAGAATATTTTACTTACATTTAACTGTAGGAAATTTACAAATCAGTTGGTCACTGGTTAAATGCATTGCGGATATATTTTCTCAGAATGTAACTTAACTTTTTACTTTGTCAGTAGTACCTTTTGTTAAACAGAATTTTTTGATTTTGTGTAATGAGATATAGCAATATTTTCCTTTGTAGTCTGTGCTTTTCATGTCCTAAAAAAAACCCTTTTTACCTTAAATTTTTATTTCCTTCCAAATTTAAATTTTGATTTTCATATTTAGGTGTTTAAACCACATGAAATTATTTTTGTATGTAATATGAAGTAATTACCTGATTTTATTTGTTTTCCATTTTTGGAGTGGTATGTATTAACCAATGTCAGTGATCTCCACTGATTTGTGAAACCACTCACTTATATATGTTAAAAATATACTTTAAATCCTTCAGTAACATGGTTTAATTTTTTGGAAAACATTTTTCACATCTTTAAGCTTATTCCTAGATCTCATACAGTTTTTGTCTCCTCGAAAATAATAATATAGTAAGAATAGCATAGTGTTTGTTAAGTTGGTATATAGAGCCCTATCAATCTGTTACTGTTGTCTGTTATTTCTGTTAGTTCTTGCTCATATGGCGTTGTCTAATAGTATGTGTTAGATACTATATTTGGAAAAATTGCTTGTAAAAATAGTTTGTAAAAATTGCTTGTGTGCTTAGGAGGAAAACAGAAAAGGTTTGGTTAAAAGTAGCCAGTATCTGCCAGACTCTTTAATTTCTTTAGGATGTTTTCGCTTTTCCCTTGCTTTACATTAGATAGACTGTTTTCTATATGTAATTCCTCTCTCTTGTATTTTTTTTGCATCATATGCCTATTTCTTTTGTGATTACCATTAACTTAGTCTATAGTGATTATCACTAATGAAATTAAGAAATTTCTCAAGTATAACATTATTTGATAATTTTGTTGTTTCAAACATATGCGTCCTTTAGTGTTTTCTCTTTTACTAATTTTACCTTATTCACAAAAATATGTTTAAAAATCAATACTTAATTATATTTTCTGTAACATCACTATCTATAGTCATAATTTCTTATAATTTTTCTCTGTGTTCACTTTTTGGATGAAGCATATTTTGTGGTAAAAAGGATATCACTGTGACAAACTATCTTAGTCTTTATCTGTCTGAAAATATATTTTGCCATTACTCTTGAGTGATAGATGGTTTTGGAAAGTGTAAAATTTCTAGGTTGATAGTTATGTTCCCTTTGTACTTTAAGTATCTGCTGGCCTCTTTTGTAGCGGGCAAGTTTATCAATCTAGTTGTTATTTCCTTTGTTAATAGACTTCCCTGTGGAAGTTATTTTTTTCTAATGCTTGCCATTTTGTACCTTTACTATGTACTTTCTAAAAGTAAATTTATTTTTGCTTATTCACCCAGCACTTAAGAGACAATTCAAAAGAAAATATAATATAGAAATGTTATAATTTCAGAGAAAATACAACATCTTTCTTTTCAAATGTGCAAAATCCAGCTCTTTTTCTGATTCGTCTGTTCTTCATTTCTACACTTTTTTGTGTTATATATGCTTACTTAGTTTAAGGAAGTCCATTCCTGAATTTGTACTTTGGAGTATCGTAAGCATATTTATTTTAAAGTCCTGATAGATATAAGTGTATTTTATCTGGGATAAGTTCTTATTCCTATTATTGACTTTGGCTTTTTTTTGCAATATAGAATTTTTTATCTATGTTGTAATTTTTGGTTTTCTTTGCAAGTACATGTGGAAAGGAAGTATTTTTATTATGTCTTATAATGTCTTTAAAATGTCTTATAATGACATTTTGAGGCATTACAGTTCTGTTGGGGCTATTGAGATTCAGTCACTTTCCCTGGGAATAGCTTAACTAAGTTCACAGTCAAGAAGCTATATCTGCCTTCTTTCATCTTTGCAAGTCCACACCTTTCAATGTACTGTAGCCTCACATGCTCACAGAAACAGACACACATACGTACACACAAAAGGCATCCAACCTGTTGTTATAGGTATCATGACAGAGGTACAGTATTATTTGGTAACATAGAATAGAGGCATCAAATTTAACCTGTGTTGTATGATCGGGTGAAGCAAAATTGAGGAAGTGATACTGGATCTAAAATATATTGCATGTGTAGAAGTACATTATAGATAAAAGAAATCATGTGTTCAATGGCAAAGGGGTAAGAGAGAACACTCCTATGTTTAAGGAAACTGCACGTTATATATTATAGTTGTAGCAAAGTATGAATGGCTGCAATGAAATTATAAATAGGCTTCTTATTAAGGAGTCTAAAAATTTTATCTGTGTTAACAGCAAGCCTCCATTAATCAGTGGAATCTTTTTAGCAGCAGTTGCCTGTGAGACCTCTGAGCATGCAGATTTAAAATAATAATAAAGTCTCTCTCATGGGAGGAAGGAAGTAAGGGGGGGATCAGAAAGATGCTTTCACATTTATAAAGGAAAAAACTGATAATTATTTCAAGGAAAGCAGTAGTAGCAGAGATAAAGAGAAAATAATAGTTCATCACCCTGTATTCTACTAGAGTCTCTCCACATAGATATATTTGGTCAGAGCAGCTGTGTTCATTGGTTTTTTGCTTTTTGTTTTGTTTTGTTTTTGTTTGTTTTAATGCGAGACAGGGCTTCACTCTGTGGCCCAGGCTGGAGTGCAATGGCCTGATCTTGGCTCACTGCAATCTCTGCCTCCAGGGTTCAAGCGATTCTCTAACGTCAGCCTCTCTGGTAGCTGGAACTACAGGCACACACTACCACACTCAGCTAATTTTTGTGTTTTTTGGTAGAGATAGGGTTTCACCATGTTGTCCAGGCTGGTCTCGAGCTCCTGAGCTCAGGCGATCCACGCACCTTGACCTCCCAAAGTGCTGGGATTACAAGCATGAGCCACTGTGCCCAGCCCATTCATTGGTTCTTTTTAAGTTTTATTATGTCTAATTGTCTTCTGTGTGTCCTGAAATGTTTTCAGCATTATAACAGCAATAGCCTGAATCCATTATAGAATTCCAACCATGTGGGACTAAATTAAAAGGTAAAATTTAAAACAAGACTAGACTAAATTGTTAGAGTAAATTCCAGAAGAAACATGAGCAGCATATAGTGATAACACATATTTTTGTTAGGTCTGTTTTGGCCCAGAAACATTTTCATAGAGACAAAGTGTATATCTGTAATAACTTACACATAGCTTTGTTTCCAATATTTTAACAAATATTTTTAGAGGCTTATTAACAGATTGGCTCTAAAAAGTAGCTTGAATGGCTCCTTTATACAATTACTTTACCTCTCTATAGTATAATGTTAACAGTAATCAGAATGCTTTCTGAATGTTTGTGACGCAAATTTTTACGCAGCTCTCTCGACTATTTTTCTTTGATCGGTCAATAACATATGTAGAATAGGATTACTACTGTGAACATAAAACACTATCTGTACAAGTTTATTAAACAGAGATGTACTTTTTACATTTTTTCTGTAGGAGATATTGGCCATCTACTGTGTGCAAGCTGTACATTAACTCATCACAAGAGAGTTATTGTTTTAATCTCTAAAGTTTTGAAAGTATTTGATAAGTATGATTGTATAGCACATTCATATGTATTATACTTTCTATTTGAAATAGAATAAAATAATAATAGTTATATAGATCTTCAGAGATATGTACAATGATTTTGGTCAAGTACTAAATCAGTAATGTGAATAGCTCATTATAAGAGTAATTTGTGAAAAAAAACTTTATGAGCCTTTATATAATGGCTACTGCTTCTTTGTAAACTAATGATAGCATTCTGTCTTAGTCCATTTTGTGATTCTGTTACAGTATGCCACAGGCTGGGTAATTTAAAATGAACAGAAATGTGTTGGCTCACAATTCTGGAGGCAGAGAAGTCTGATACAAAGTGCTAGAATCTGGTGGGGACATTCGTGCTGTGTCATCATATGGTGAAGATGGAAGGGCAGAGACAGTGAGAGCAAGAATGGATAATGCAATTGCAACAATAATGGCCTAACCACCTCTTAAAGTCCCACCTCTTAATGCTGTTACAATATCAATTAACTTTTAATATAAATTTTAAAGGGAAGCACCTTGAAATCATAGCCGATACCCTATGCTATTTTATTAAATAGAAAGTTAATTATCAATGAATATGAAATAGTTTTTGTTTACACATGCATAATCATGGAAGCTTTTATCCAAATTTAAGTAAGATACATGGAAAACTGAAAGAACCTTTCATATATTATTTTACTACACTCAAGAGAATTTACATTATTAAAATCATGTATCTTTATCTTCAGTGGTCATGTTGATGATGTATTTTAGTCACAGATATTAAATTTGATTATAGTAGTTGTCTTAAACAATGACAAATCCCATCTAAATGTGAGCTTTTGTATAAAATATTCCCATATTCATGGAATGTATCTGTACTTGCTATATTCTATTTCCAGCGAGAATTAGAAAACATCATGTCTGATTTCACTTTATTATTTATCATAGTAGTTAGATCATTTTAGCAACAAAAGCTATTCCATTTAGAGCAAATTTAGTGATTATGTTGTGATGTTTAAAAAGTGTGATTTACAAAAAAAATAAGGAAGCTTTTGGTTATATTTTAATTAGCTCTGTTCTTTTGAAGATATTCCCTGGTGATATACTTAAAGAAGCATCAAAATTTTTAGTGATCTGAAATGATGAAAATACATATTCTAATCTACTTAAAAATATTTGGATAGAGGTTAATCTCATAATTTGCTATACATATGTCCACATTTAGGAAGTACAGAAAAAGGCTGCATTCAGAATTACTGTGTTGCATGACGATGAAAACATGGTTGTGAATATTGTGGACTGGTCCATACTAGGCAGAGAATTCACATCACATGTTATACTTTGGTCATCCCCAGGCTTTATGTTTGAAAATAATCAAGAAAGGCACAGTAGTCAGTCACTGATACTTGATTGAGGTGAAGAGATACACATAGTCAATGAATAAAAACTTCTGAGCTAGTCTCATAAAATAAAGAAGAGAAATGGAGCAGTACCTGGAAAGGTGAGTGCTGCTCATTGGCGTTGAGCAACCAGAAAAGTCCTCAGTATCTACTCTGTTTTCAACCCGATACTGTTATTTTGGATAATAGCTTTGATCTCTTGAAATTGTGTCAATGCAAATGTTTCATAGACCTAAGAGGTATAATGTGGTTTAAAAAGGAACAACTGAGTTGTTAATAATTACTCTAAAGTAGTTATTTGAGTACAAAGAGTGACATTTAAGTGATTTAAAAAATTGACCAAGGTTTAAAGTAAAAATATGCAAGGTAACATAGGTTAATTGAAAGCTCTTATGAGTTAACACCTCAGACACATGCAGGATATATGCTTTCGGGGGACATAGGCAAGGATTATTAACCAGAGCTGACACTATACCTGTTCCTCCCTCTATAAATATAAACTGATCCTTGATTTCATCTGTTTTTATTGTTGTTATGATTTTAGTAGGAGTAAACTTAATTAAGTGTAGGGTGCATTTCATTCTTCTATTTGTGATGAGATGGTTAGGTTAAGATATTTTATTTTTGCAGAGAGGCAGTCTGGATTAGGAGTGATTCAAATTAGATAGGTCAAACTTTTTTCGGGGGCGGGGAGCATGTTCTTCTGTTTGTCCTGATTCAGAGACTACAGTGCTGTTTTTGATGGCGGAAATGGTGGTCCTTAGAGGAAGCAAATTATTTTTCTACTAAGGCTAAGCACATAATTTTGCTCTCTTTAATTCCCTCAATGGTAAACACAATCTGCACTTTATAAACCCTCTGTGTCTACGCAAGCTTTTAAAATTTTTAGCACTGTCTTCTGACAATTGGATGATTCCTGCATTTACAAATTTGTGGCCTTATGTCTTCAGTACTTTTGGCTAAATTTTATCATGAACATGATTTATTAACAGATTTGACTTGGCACATGGGCAATGGCATCCTGACTCAAAGCAACCCCTTTGGTGACAATTTTCTGTTGTTTCCTCAAAATACTCTTTGCTGATAAATTGTTTGAGAGACACAAGCACAAAATGTGATCTTTTATGAAAATAAGAATTCTCTCTTGGAGGGGGAAATTGTATTTTATTTGGATGACACACTTCTAAATAAAATACATCATGTCAGTTTCCCCAATTTAAAAATTGAGACCATATTCTAATAATAACTTTACAGTCTTATGACCATTCATCAAAACTTTATGACTTTATTCTGCTATTGTAGTCTTAATTTTAAAGCCATTTATTATTTTATACTTAAATGCTTTTTTACCAATTTAAGTATATGTGGTGTGAGCAAATACCATTTCATAGTCTCCTCTTTATTCTCTTTCAGCACTTACAGCAGTGCAAGGTTACTGGGAGCTTAACAAATATTAAATAAGCAGGAACCTATTTGAGGACTGCTTCATTTTTCTTGAAATCTATAGGCTGAATTTCTATACCATGATAGTATATTTACTAAATATTTTTGAACACAATAGTGGATTTTGGATTATAAATGGAAAGGAGAAAGAATAATGTCCACCTTCAACAAGATGACCTATTGGTTTGGCATCCTGTGAATCTTAGGTTGGTGTAAATGGAATTGAGGTTTCGGACCATGAATTTTAAATCATGATAACTAGGTTCCAATACATCTTTATTAATCAAAATAGGAACCCACACATTTTTGCTAATGAAAAATAAATTTGTTTATTCCTCTAACATAATAATCCATGCTTCAGGATTCAGCAAACTCTTGGAAAGCATTTTCTGCATCCTCCTGGTTGTGGAAGTGTTTTTCCTGCAAAAAGTTGTTGAGATGCTTAACGAAGTGGTAGTTGGTTGGCAAAAGGTCAGATGAATATAGAGAATGAGGCAAAATTTCATAGCTCAATTCGTTCAACTTTCGAAGTATTGCTTGTGTGACATGCAGTCAGGCATTGTGGTGGAGAAGAATTTGGCCCTTTCTGTTGACCAGTGCCGGCTGTTGGCGTTGCAGTTTTTGGTGCAGCTCATCCATTTGCTGAGCATACTTTTCAGATGTAATGGTATCACCAAGATTCAGAAAGCTATAGCGGATCCAACTGGCAGCAGACTGCCAGTGACCATAACTTTTTTTTTTGGTGCAAATTTGGCTTAAGGAAGTGCTTTGCAGCTTCTCTGTTCAACCACTAAGCTGGTCATCATCAGTTGTCTTATAAAATCCACTTCTCATTGCATGTCACAATGTGATCGAGAAGTGGTTGATTGTTGTTGCATAGAATAAGAGAATATGATACTTCAAAATGTTATTTTTTTTAATTTTGAGTCAGCTCATGAGGCACCTACCTACTAAGGTTTTTCACCTTTCCAATTTGCTTCAAATGCTAAATGACTAGAATGGTGGACATTGAGTTCTTCAGCAACTTCTCGTGTAGTCAGAAGAGGATCAGCTTTCATGATTGCTCTCATTTGGTTGTTGTCAACTTCCAATGGCCAACCACTGAGTTCCTTATCTTCAAGTTCCTTGTCTCCTTTGCAAAACTTCTTGAACCACCACTGTGCTGTACATTCATTAGCAGTTACTGCACAAAATGTGTTGCTGATGTTATGAGTTGTCTCCGCTGCTTTATGACCCATTTTGGACTCGAGTAAGAAAACTGCTTGAATTTGCTTTTTGTCTAACATCATTTCCATAGTCTAAAAAAAAATCAAGTAATAAGTCATTAGCAAAAAAGCAAGAAATGCCCATTAAAATGATATATAACATAACCACATTTAACAATGCATTCCAATATCCAATGGCAAATCCCAACGAGGCAAAAACTGTAATTACATTGGCATCAACCTAACACATGGAGTTGGTGCACTTTGATTGTTATCATAAGTGATAATATTACTGCATCCTCTGACCTCTCTTTTATATCTGTACGAAAGTGACAAAAAACCTATTAGACTTTAACTTATGTTGTGTGTACAACGAAATGCTACACTACCCATGAAACATTCATCAATATGCTTGTTAATAAATCGTTCTCTTCAATTCTTAGAAATCCTTGAAGGTTTTATAGTTTATACTTGTTTAAGTTTCATAAACTTCATTTCAATGTTGAAAGGCAACTTAAAGTTAAAAGAAGATTTGGACAATTTTTTTAAGAATTCATCTAAGATACTTGGTGCAAAAATTTTTCTCACCTTGTAACTATGTCATCATAAAATATAATTTCTAGTTAACACTTCAAAATTTCTTGAAATTGTCACATAAAGTATACTAATGATCATTAAAATGGCATTTCTTAAAATTTTATTGGGCATGATAGGCTGCTATTTCCTTTATATTATATTACTGAGACACTTAGTTTACATTACATGAATAAGCTAGTCACAGACATAAATTACAGCTAACCAGCAGGCAGAACAGTTGCAGCCTGGCATTAGATGTAATCCCTGAGAAAAATAAGCACAGAAGTTGATGTAGATGTAATCCCTGAGAAAAATAAGCACAGAAGTTGATGTTAAAAAGAGGATTTAAGCCTGAAAGGCAGATTTAGAATTGAGGGAGACATGATAATGTTGGGTCATGATCCAATAAAACAATCGAAACAGTGATCCAAAACCAAAAAGCAATCCTTTCTGAGAACCTGGCTGCAGGAGTCTCAGATGGATGATACTTAAAATGTCTTGATATGAAGGAAGTTATAAAGTTAGTATCTGGGTAGCCTATCAGTAAGTGGCAGAAGTTTCAGAAGGAGCTAGAGAGGACCGGACACTAACTTGATCCTAGGACAGGACTCTATAAAGGAAACTATTGTCTCCATAACAAGATAATATACAGACAATCCCTAATTTAAGGTAGTTTGATTTAGAATTTTTTAACTTTATGATGGTGTGAAAGTGATATGCATTCAGTAGAAACCATACTCTGAGAACCCATACAACCAATCTGTTTCTTACTTTCAGTAGAGTGTTCAGTAAATTACATGAGATGATAAAACTATATTATAAAATAATCTTTGTGTTAGATGACTTTGCTTAACTGGAGACTAATGTGAGTGTTCTGAACAACTTTAAAGTAGGCTAGGATAAACTCTGATGTTCAGTATATTAGTTGAATTAAATGCATTTTTGAATTATAATATTTTAAATTTAGGAATACGTTTGTTGAGGTGCAATCTTATTGTAAACTGAAGAGCATCTGTACTACTGCTCCTAGAAACTCCACTTGGAGATAGGTAGATGGGGCTTCCAGAGTCATAATTTATAATAGAACTTGATCATCCTGTTCAAGACCCTCTTGTAGAAGACTCTTGCCAACACCAGGCTAACTTTAGGCAGCCATTGTCTCCTGTTTCTTGCTCTAGCTCAGTGATTCCCAGTTGCTGTGTCGCTTCCTTCTTCGTGTTTCAGACATTTGTGGGGGTAGTCTCAGTTATTCAAGGATGTAACTTTCATTTAGGTAGTAGAGACCAGGAATTCCAAATGTCCTATAATTGCAAAGCACAGGACTCTTAAGTGTCCTGACAGGCATTTTTGTGAGTGAAAATTCTCTTCATAGTTATCTGGTAAAATAATCTGACTGGATATTTCATTACCTATGTGGTATTTTTAAATATAGTGGATATTTTAATGCAAACACTGTATGAATTGCAAGATTACACTTAGTTTTGTTCAGAACTTAACCAGAGGTTGTTGTCCATTTAGAATACCTACTACCTAACACTGGTGCCTCTCATGACACTTGGGTCACCAATTGTAGACACCTGGATTAGTTTGCGTTTGTAGATGCTGCATTCACGGGGATTTTTATGAACAAAAACTCTTGATTGCTTCTTTATGTTGTCTATTATAATTCTGAAAACTTACATATTGAAAATTTATTGAATTAAATATTGTTTTAGGCTGGGCACAGTGGCTTATGCCTGTAATTGCAGCACTTTGGGAGGCTAAGGTAGAAAGATTGGTTTAGCCCAGGAGGTTGCGGCTGCAGTGAGCCATGATTGTGCCAGCCTGGATGACGGAGCAAGACCTTGTTTCAAGAAAAGAAAAGACCAAACCACAATTTTACAGCAAACGATTGCACTTTTATTTGTCCTTTTAAAATCATTTTTAAAAGAATTACCCGTAGGTAGTTAGAATATTCATTAATTTCATTTGACAATCACAAAGGAAGAGCATAAAATAGTTATGATTTAAAAACTTTGAGAACTGCTAGATGGATGTAAGGTACTTTTTCTCCATTCCATATTGTTTTTCTCAACTTGCTGAGACTAAGATAGATGGGGTTACTACTAAGGCTCAGGGATAACAAAAGAGTAAGGGAAAAACAGGAATACATATATATGATTTTATAATTTACAAGTTTAGTTTAAACATCTCTGATTTATGCTACTCTAGATGACTGCCTCCACAGTCAAGACCATCTTGCCCTAGCCATTTATTTGATACCTTGTTTTCCTAATGTAAAGCTGAGAGAAAGCTATCCAGAGTAATTCAGGAGTTTCCCTTCTTATATGTCTACCTTCCATGTTTCAGTTAACTGTTTGAAGACCTATTGCTTCCATGATGCAAACTCCTTTCAAAAAGTTTATGTTCCCCTCCAAGGAGACTCTGTCCTTTACCCAGATTATTGAGTCCTACTTTGCTGTACGTGGTTGCCCTGTGGCGGGTAAGATCAGTACCATCACTACCTAAAATTGGTTCAGATGCAGAAACTGATGATGACGCATATGTTCAAAAAGGGTATGAAGAGATTTATTCTTCGTAACATGAGGCTTTCTGAGAAGACACATTGGTATGAAAACAGCCTGAGTGAAAAAAGGAATGAATGACTTGGATTTTTAACTGTGGTTGTGAGGTAGGGTTGGGATGAGGGTTCCTATGTGGGCCAGGGTTTGTGTGGTGTAAACTTCTCCACTGGAGTCAGGGCAGGAGGTGCCCAACTTCTGACCTTGCCCAGAGGTGAGGCAATAGGGAAAAGGCAAATAATGTGGCTTGAAAGCTGTCAGCAGTCAAAGAGCTGACATAATGTCAGACTCTTAATTACATGAGTCTATAGTGAATGTCAGTCACTTTAAAATCCAAAACAAGAACCACAGCAGCACCCATACAACATAAATGTGTACGTAATAGCACTGGGCCTTCTAGAAGGGTTAACATAGGATTTAGGAATGGAAACATATGGATGAAAACCCATTTTCAGAATATGGCCATGTGAAGAAGGCTTGGAGCTCAAGAATTAAGTAGAAAGCTAATTTAAAAAACTGGAGCACTATAACTGGTCAAGCTAAATACATGGTTGACTGGTTAAATACCTCCTGTCATAGGCCCTAGGCCTGGAAATACATGCTAGCTAAGTAGTAAGCAATCAAGTGGTCTGAACTAGAGAAGATGGTTTATCAGCAAGACTATGTAATATTGTTATAGGAAAGAGGTCCGGATACAGACCCCAAGAGAGGGTTGTTGGATCTTATGCAAGAAAGAATTTAGGGCAAGTCCGTAAAGTGAAAGCAAGTTTATTAAGAAAGTAAAGAAATAAAAGAATGGCTACTCCATAGACAGTCCAAAGGGCTGCTGGTTACCCATTTTAATGGTTATTCCTTGATTATATGCTAAACAAGGGGTGGTTTGTTCATGCCTCCCCTTGTTTTTTTTTTTTTTAATTTTTCTTTTTTTTTAATTATACTTTAAGTTCTAGGGTACATGTGCGCAACGTGCAGGTTTGTTACATATGTATACATGTGCCATGTTGGTGTGCTGCACCCATTAACTCGTCACTTACATTAGGTATATCTCCTAATGCTATCCCTCCCCCCTCCCCCAACCCCCGACAGGCCCTGGTGTGTGATGTTCCCCACCCTGTGTCGAAGTGTTCTCATTGTTCAATTCCTACCTATGAGTGAGAACATGCGGTGTTTGGTTTTTTGTCCTTGCGATAGTTTGCTGAGAATGATGGTTTCCAGCTTCATCCATGTCCCTACAAAGGACATAAACTCATCCTTTTTTATGGCTGCACAGTATTCCATGGTGTATATGTGCCACATTTTCTTAATCCAGTCTATCATTGATGGACATTTGGGTTGGTTCCAAGTCTTTGCTATTGTGAATAGTGCCACAGTAAACATACGTGTGCATGTGTCTTTATAGCAGCATGATTTATAATCCTTTGGGTATATACCCAGTAATGGGATGGCTGGGTCAAATGGTATTTCTAGTTCTAGATCCTTGAGGAATCGCCACACTGTCTTCCACAATGGTTGAACTAGTTTACAGTCTCACCAACAGTGTAAAAGCATTCCTATTTCTCCACATCCTCTCCAGCACCTGTTGTTTCCTGACTTTTTAATGATTGCCATTCTAACTGGTGTGAGATGGTATCACATTGTGGTTCATGACTCTCCTTTTTAGACCATATAGGGTAAATTCCTGACTTTGCCATGGAATTTGTAAAATGTCATGGTGCTGGTGGGAGTGTAGCAGTGAAGATGACCAGAGGTCACTCTCATGGCTGTTTTTGTTTTGGTGGATTTTGGCTGGCTGCTTTACTTTAGCCTGTTTTATCAGCAAGGTCTTTATGACTTGTATCTTGTGCTTACCTCCTGTCTTATTTGTGACTGAGAATGTCTTAACCATCTGGGAATGCAGCTCAGTAGGTCTCAGTCTCATTTTTCCCAGCCTCTGTTCACGATGGAGTTGCTCTGTTTCAAATGTTTCTGATGATGATATACAGTTCAATGAACTTTGTTTCTTAATGAAATTACATCTTCTTTAATAGTTTAAAATGATTTTATTTTAATGTAATATTAGCCAACATCAGAAACTCTGGACACTATAACAAATTACTTCTTAACACATTAACATGTTTCTTTTGTATTCACATCACATTCTGCTTAGTTGTTGAATGAAGTGCTCTCCATACAGAAAGTTTTGGAACCACTTTCAGTTGATCTAATATCTTTGATATCTTTTAAAGCCTTACTGGCATCTTCTGCTCCTTTACCTTTAGAAAACTGACAAATAGGAGAGGATAAAAGATTGTGCATGACTTTTTTTTGTATCTAGTCCTGTATTTTACATACATTTCAGTCTAGAACTAAGTCACATGGCCCCATGTCAAACCTAAAAAAGGCCAAGAAAGTGTCCCAGTGTTCCTAGGAAAAGGAAATGGGATTAGGGAGCATCTAGCCAGTACTTGCCACACATGAGTAAAAAAAAAAAAAAAAAAAACCTATCAAATATCACATGTGATAATGATGACATTAAAATTACACTAATATAATTTTAACATCAAGAATAAAGTGGGCTCTTAGGAAATACTTTATTGAGTGATTATGATTAAAATTATTTAAGGTCAGTTCTATGGGTTATATAGAAACAGCTTTGTTTTAGTAAAAGCTAAAAGTAAAAAAACTTCATTTTTGTTAATTTCTCATTTTTCATAATATTTTATTAGAGGGACTTAGGGTATCCTTAGTAGAAACTTCAAATTTTAATCTTAAAATATGAAGTTTATAAAATACAGAAAATATGTCAATTTCTATAAGTTAAATAGTTATATTAACATGCAGGTAAATGTAACTACCAGAAAATCTTGAGTAAAGTATGTCTATTATGGAGTAGAATTGGGTAAAAAACTGTCCTCATCTAGGATACAAATTTACGGTTTTAATTTTAAGATGAACTTTATCTTCAGACAATAATCTGTTATGACCTCATGTATTACTGGATGTAACCAAGCTAAGACTGGATATAGATCCCACAGATATTTTTGGAAATGATGCCTGAAATGAATCGTTCTTCTTCCAGTTCTGAAAGCTTATGGCCCTATGATAGCATAAAAATCAAACATCTATCAAGTATTTTTATTTTCTCCAGTATCACTCTTTGTAAATGATACTTCTATCTCTTATTTTTTGTTTTTTCATCTTTTATTTTTAAAATAATTTTCTCACAATTAATATAGGGAGAGGAAAAATGGTTTATTAGTTACCTATTCCTATATTTAAAAAATCCTCAAAACTTAGCAATTTAAAACAACAATCAAGCATTTTCTCTTCAAGTCTGAAATCTGAGTACCTTAGCTGGGAGGTTCTGGCTCTAGGTCTTTCATGAGGCTGCAGTCATGCTGTCAGTTATAGCTCCATTCTCATTTGAAAACTTTACAAAGGGAGGATCCACTTAACAATTCACCTATGTGATTGTTGTTAGGCCTCAGTTTCTTGCTGCCTTTTGGCCAAGCCAGGTATTTCAGTTCCTTACCATGTCGGCCTCTCCACAGCCTGAAAAAATTTCCTTTGGATATGCAATGGTCTTCTTCTTGAGGGAGTGACCCACGAGGAAAGTGTACCCCAGAAGGAAGTTGCATTACTTAGTATTAGAAGTAATATAGTATGCCTTTTGCTTTTAGCTAGAAATAAGTCATTAAGTCAAGCTGACACTCACGGGGAAAGAAATTAAGCTCAACTCCTTGAAGGGAGGGTTATCAAAAAAGTTGTGGACATATCTTTTAAACTAACCCAAGTAGGTTTGGAAAAATTCTTCACAAGTAGGTTTGGAAAAATTCTTCACAAGTTAATTGGTCTAAAGATGATATAAAAGGCATGTTTACTTTATATCATTATTTTGAAATACAATTAAAACAAACAAGATTAAAAAGGAGGCATGAAAAGGTTACTTTCATTGAAACAAGGAAAAAAGGCTTGAAAATAATGAGGAAAGAAATATCCGACAATTGCCTTTGTCGTCAGACTTCAAGACAAATATCAGTTTACCTAATGGTAAGTCACCAGCCCTTAAAAGAAATGTGTACTCAATTGTTCATTAATAAAGGTAAAATAATCGGGTGAAGTCTGTGTGAAAGTGGACAAATGACTCAGGATACTTCAGAACATATCGAAGGAGGCAGTGAAATAAGAACTACTATGACAAGCGTTTTATATATATATATTTTTTTCAATCTAAGTTTTTGTATGGGAGGACCATTGAAGTTGAGGCAGAGGGAAGGAGGCAAGAGATTGAGAAACCGTCAGATTATAGTCAAACTCCTAACCTAAGGATTTTCCCTGTGAACCACGCAGATGTCCTTAAAAAGGAAATAGGGTTAATACAGACATATAACATCTATGCATTTAGATATTACTGATAATCACATTACTAAGAACAGTTAAAAGAAGCAATATAAGAAACCAAAGTAGATATAAGATAATAGAATATGATATGTAAGTTTTGGAGCTCGGGAAACAAATGGAAGAGAGAAAAAATGATTAAAGAGTTGAAACTCTTAGTAGTAGTAATATATTTGCACCTAATTAGATAGTAATACAGCAACCAAACTCAACAAAGTCAAACAAAAAAGAAGATAAACCATTACACAGTTTATGGAGAGAACTTTTTTTCTTTTTAAAGAAAAACAAGGTATGCCTAACTGGTATGAGGGGAATAGAGCAAATGAGAAATAAATTTTCCTGAAAAAGAAAGTCATAAGACTGAAAGTTAAAAAGGCCAACTGAGTCACAGAAAAAAAAATCGTACAAGATGACTACACCAAGACATATCCCTCAAAATTATTGATATTCACGGGTGAGTAAAGAATCCTGTGGGTGTCCATGCATAAAATCTGGTCACTTAAAAATGATGACAGTTAGGCCGGAGTCAGACTACTTCACCATGGTAATGTCCATTGTTACCAGAGGGTGGAAAAATACACGCAAAATCATTAGTTAAATTAGTAGTGAACGTGTAATTTGATACCTGCCAAGTTGTCTCTTAATGATAAAGAAAGAATACATACATCTTAACTATGCAAAAAGGAATACAGCATACAAGAGCTTGTTTTTGGTAAAAAATAAGGAACTTAGAAATGGAAAAACCATGGGAAGATACATAAGTATCTAGTCTCATAATAAGAACTATGAATAAGAAACTTTGTAAAATATGCTTATCAAACAATTGAGAAAATTTAAGAAGTATACTTGAGAAGTCCATCATTCTTCGTAGCAGAGAATAAACAGATTATTTCCAAATTGAAACAATTCTTTTCTAAGAAAAAAAAAAGCCTCTTGAGTATGACCCTGGCATTTCACAGACAATAACCACTGACGTTGTATGTTCAGCCAACTACAGATACCTAGCAGTTTGTTAATAAGAGATCTGATAGAGGAAAAAAACACAGAAAACCATTGCTTTTATGAGACGTTAACATTGTGTGTGATGACATCTGCCCATTACACAAATGTGTCGAAGGCTTCTACTTGGTTGAAGAGTTTAATTAATTGGCTATCAAGATCTTTGTGATAATTTGCTATTATACAGCATTTGAAGTGTTATCTCCAACAAGTTATAGATTCCATCAAGCAAAAGAGTGCAGAATGTAAGTATATGGATTTAAACAGTGGATCATTATGACCAGAAGATAAAATTCACTGCTACAGCAGAATGAATAAAAAATGTATCTCAGTATATCTATAATCTCTTTACAGTAGAAACATCACTGATTATCTTTGCTGGGGACTGGGAAGCTGTACGTAGACATGTTTCTTTTCCCCCCCTTAACATGAATTTTACTTCTAAGATGAAAAAAGGAAGGGAAGGGAGCCACTGTTTAACTTGGCATTTGAAATACTTTCTTTTTCACATTTCTATTTACTGTCATTTATGTTGACGCACTGGCTTAACAGCAACAAAATAAATGATGGAGTCACTGAATAGGGCTAAGATGCTTTGGGAACTAACAATGAACAGCAAAGAGATGTCTCACAAAGTATGGGCAGTAATAATAAAATATATGTTCAGATTAGTCCCTTATTATTTAGCCTATAATTTACCAAATCTTACTTCTCTAGTTTTCCCCAGCCGGACCATATTTTATTTCTCTTGTCCTGTTTTCACAATTTTCAGAACATAAAATTTGGAACCAGAGAATCTTAAAATCAACTGTCTTCTTATACGGCTAACTTTGCAGGAGTCTCCTCTAAGAAGCTTGGAGTTTTCAGCTTGCAATTAGAAATGACTATGATACTGAGCTGAGATAATTAGATAATATATATACATATATAAAATCATGCTTTATAAATGTTAGCACATAAGTATAATAAGAGTGAGAAAAAGGGGAGGAGGAGGAAAAGAAGCAGCAGAAGCAGCAGAAGCAGCATCAGCAGAAGAGGAGGAGGAGAATGAAGGAGAAGGAGAATGAAGAAGGAGGAAGAGAATGACAAGAATGAAAAATAAGAAGAAATAATAGTCATGGTAGTAGTAAGCAGTTTCAAGAATTCAATAGCCTTAGATTTATATTCCAGGTTTGACATTTATATATATATATATATATGTGGTGTGTGTGTATATATGTGTGTATATATATATACACACACACACACACATATATATACACACATATATACACATACATATACATATATATATATTTTTTTTTTATGGAGTTTCACTCTTGTTGCCCAGACAGGAGTGCAGTGGAGCGATCTCAGCTCGCTGCAACTTCCACCTCCATTGTTCAAGCGATTCTCCTGCCTCAGCCTCTGAAGTAGCTGGAATTACAGGCATGCACCCCACGCACCACCACGCCCAGCTAATTTTGTATGTTTAGTACAGATAGGGTTTCACCGTGTTGGCCAGGCTTCTCTCAAACTACTGACCTCAGATGATGCACCCACCTCAGCCTCCCAAAGTGGTGAAAGTACAGGTGTAAGCCACCACACCCGGGTATTTCCTTTCTAGATTTAGCTAATTGTTTTCTGTCTCAGTTTTGTCATCTCTAAGATAAAAGGACTGATTATTGCCAATGGTGATTGTGAGTGTTTCGTGATATTATGCATGAGAAGTATTCAGCATAATGTCTGGCATATAGTAATTATACTACAAGTAAATATTAGTTATTAATCACAATTTATTCAGTGCTTGCAATATACAAGGTATTTGCAAATGTTAATAACAACTGATATTCCTACTAATACTGTAAAGTAGGCATTATTATCCACAAATAATACTTGAGTAGCAGATAATCAAAGATGTTTGGTTCATGGCTAAAAAATACTACTACTAGAATTTGAACTTACATGTGTCCAACTCTAAAGCTCAGGAGTTGTCTATAACACTTATTATATGTGAATTTTATGCAGCATAGCTATTTTTAATGTTTAAGTCATAGTTTTAATGTGTAAAGATCAGAAAGGGTTTTTTTTCCCACAGCGTAATTCTGCAAGTTAATTCTTAAAATTTGATTTATAAAAGTTGTGATTTATAAAAATTTATAGAAGTTTTCCAATTTTTTATAAACTCATAATGCAACAACAAATACAAAATTTTGACAATTTTCTCTAGTTATTTATTAAATCATTTATTTTTCTTTTCCTTATTGAATAAAAGTTTTAATTGACAGCAATATAATTTGGTACAGTGAGACATATTCTGGTTATTTTGGTGTAGTATTTTGCTCGTAGCTCAAAAAAAGTGCAGCTAGGCCAGTCGAGGTGGTTCACTTCTGCATTCCCAGCACTTTGGGAGGCCTAGGCGGGCGGATTACTTGAGGTTAGGAGTGTGAGACCAGCCTGGCCAACATGGCAAAAACCTGTCTCTACTAAAAATACAAAAATTAGCTAGGCATGGTGGCTGTAATTGCAGCTACTCAGGTGGCTGTGGCAGGATAATTGCTTGAACCTAGGAGGCAGAGGTTGCAGTGAGCCAAGATCGTGCCACTGCTCTCTAGACAGAGTGGGAGTGAGACTCTCTCAAAAACAAACAAACAAAAAACTTGCATCTAGGTTATCTAGGATTCAAAGAAAATACTCGTCAGTACATGCTCATAGTGACTGCTCAATTTTTATTTGGTTTAGAATACTGTGAAAACTTTTGTTTTACTTCGCCAAGACAAAATATTTAAAGAAATATATTTAAAGAAAGCAAATCATTTTACTCCAAATTTGTTCTTCTAAATATAAGGTGTACATCTTTTCCCAGAATTTTTTTTTAGCTCAAATTTCCTGGAACATTTATTTTTATACTTTTTTTCTGAATATTTTCTTGTGATTATCTGCAAAAGATATAAACTTCTGTTTAATACATATATTGGAACTATGTCTTTACTGAAATAATTTCTCTTTATCTGTAGCAGTAGTTTTTAACAAGGGTCATTTTGATCCTAGAGCACATATAACAATGTCTGGATACCTTTTTTATTATTACACATTGGAGAGAGATGCTACTGGAATCTAGTGGGTAGAGGCCACGGATGCTGCTAACCATTCTACAATGCACAGGACAGCCCCGCCTCAACAGAAAGATCTGTCCCAAAACATCAATGGTACAGAGACTGAGAAACCTGATCTAGGGCTATTATGTGATCAAATTCATGATCAATGAAAATTAAGCAAAAAAAGCTTTACTTTTTCACAAATTCACAATTCACTATGCTATAGATCTTAGATACGCACACGATGCTCTGAATGCTTACGTAACTGTGGGCTGACATAACTTGTATTATCCTCTGTACATTTGCTCATCATTTCTCCAGCTGACTTGGTCTAAAACTCAAGTCCAAGTTGACATTTGAAGTCCATTTTTAGTTTCACTTTCTTCATGAAATTTTCATTAGCTTCAAATTACTTTTATCACACACAGAATTTCTCTGAGTATTAGCTAACTAAAATAGAATCGAGTGTCTGGTATATAGTAGGCAATAAATTTATGTGCTCTTCCCACTGGCCTCCACTTCCTTTTATGCCTTTTGTCTTCTGATCTTATTGACTATTTAGTTGTATAAAGTTTTGCCATTTTAATTAAGTTGTCTTTTTTTGAAAGCATGTCTTATTTATTCCATGAAAATACCTTTATGCATGTTACATCATTTTTTTACACCCCAGAATTGTTAGCACTAAATGTAGTGCTTCAGTGAATTAATGAAGAATATAAAAAAATGCAAGAGGACTAATATTTTCATACCTGTAGCACCTAAGTAGTGACACAATATTAATATATTACTTTTGCGTGTGTATTATTTTTAACATTCTAAGAATTTTACAAACTTTCAGGTTTTTTAAGATATTGTTTATGCTTAATATTATTATCCTTCAGTCTGATTTTGAAAAATGAAAACAAAGATATATATTTAAAATATAAATGTCTGAGGTTTGTTTTTTATGTATTACACGTTTAACAGCATTTTTAGTTGATTAAAAATTATATTTGGTTCTTTACAATTTAATAAAACAATGCAGTTTTCTAGCTATTCCTTCTTTTGGGAATTTACCTGTTGATTACAAGAAAAGAGCAAGAATTTTGAATATAAGTAAGATGGAAAAGAAAAAAACACAAAATATCTTGCTAGTTTAAGGAAATTTAAAATGTGTCTGTTTTGTCTTTACAGAAAGTGTGGACTATGGGCCAGTTTTTGTGCAAGAACCAGATGATATTATTTTTCCAACTGATTCTGATGAAAAGAAGGTAGCATTGAATTGTGAAGTTCGTGGCAATCCAGTTCCCAGTTACAGGTAGGAATTCACTGTTAATCATTTTTCTTAAGCCTTAAAAACTTTCCATCAATGATATTCTGACACTCTCAGGGAGGATTATACATATTTGTCTTCTGATTTTTTCCTAAGATGGCTTCGAAATGGAACAGAAATAGATCTGGAAAGTGATTATCGCTACAGTTTGATAGATGGCACCTTCATTATAAGCAATCCAAGTGAAGCAAAGGATTCTGGTCATTATCAGTGTTTAGCAACCAACACTGTGGGGAGTATTCTTAGTAGAGAAGCTACACTGCAGTTTGCCTGTGAGTAAAATATATGATTTTTCTATATATATGTATATAGTGTGTATATACAGTATGGATTTTTAAAATTTAGTTCAGGAAAGAAAAGCCTAAGATCTCAAATCTTTTTTTTTTTTTTTTTTTTTTTTGAGGCGGAGTCTCGCTCTGTCGCCCAGGCTGGAGTGCAGTGGCGGGATCTCGGCTCACTGCAAGCTCCGCCTCCCGGGTTCACGCCATTCTCCTGCCTCAGCCTCCCAAGTAGCTGGGACTACAGGCGCCCGCCACTACGCCCGGCTAATTTTTTGTATTTTTAGTAGAGACGGGGTTTCACCGTTTCAGCCGGGATGGTGTCGATCTCCTGACCTCGTGATCCGCCCGCCTCGGCCTCCCAAAGTGCTGGGATTACAGGCGTGAGCCACCGCGCCCGGCCCTTCTTGGGATATTTTGAAATTTTCTAAAAGATTTGCTGTCCTCAAAATAAACTTGATAAACTAGCCTGACAGGTTGAAGTCCTTTTCATGAAAGTAGATAAAGTTTTAGAATTCATAACAGTCTATTTTGAAACCCACCACTTTTTATGTGTTATTTTCAAGTCTTTGAGTTCAAATTAAGCTTCCTATGAGAAAAAAAAATGATAATCCAAATTTCTTTTGAAATCGGATTCTCTCCATCTCCTTTTTAAGATATCTATAATTCTACTAACTACTATAGTCACCATTTGCTATGGATTTCTAAGAATATAAGATAGCATATTCTAAAACTTCTGCTTATAGCCAGGTAACAAAAAATACCTCTGAAATGCTAATATTTTAGATTTTGACTATATCTCCTAGATGTCCCAGTTTTCGTATTGCAAAAAAGATATTGTATGTGGCTATACGGACATAGACACACACACACACACACACACACACACACACGAATATAAACATTTCTAAAGTAGATAATACACCTGATTAAATGAAAATTAGCCAGGTGAGGCAGCAGGTGCCTGTAGACACAGCTACCTGGGAGGCTGAGGCAGGAGAATTGCTTGAACCTGGGAGGTGGAGGTTGTAGTGAGCCGAGATTGCGCCACCACACTCCAGCCTGGGCGACAGAGTGAGGATCTGTCTCAAAAAAAAAAAAAAAAAAAAAAAGAAGTGTGTATATATAATTAACTAAATATGTTCTTAAAAACTCTTGAAATTATTTTACTTATAATGAGAGCTTACAATAAATTAAAAATAGGCTAATAGGTAAAACCTTTTATTATTATTCCTTAATAAGTAATCCTACTTGAAATTAAGTTCTTGAGGATAGAATCTCTAAAAAATACTGAGAAAGACTAGGAATCTTTATATTAATAATTAAAGTGTAATTGTAGTGGCTACATAAGAGATCATGAAATGATTTTTAAATTAAAGTTACACCTGGAAGAATGTAATAATTGATATTTCTCTATGTAATCTTTCCCAGGTATCATTTCTAATTAACCCAGAATTCAGACACCCTATTAAAGAAGTGTGAAATAGAAAAGGAAAGAATAAAGAATTGATAATAAATACAGTTTGAAGAGTACCGAGATAGGTCCTAGAAAAATGTAAATATCATATTTTAAAGTAGATTTGCCTAAGGAATTCAGATAGGTACATTTACATAGGCCAAAGACACCAAGATAGCAGCCTAAATAGATTCTTTTTTATTTTGGAAAATATTATGTGGTGTATCACAGAACCTAATACTTTACATTATGCACAATTAATCAAGTAGCCTAATAAACTAAATAAATAACCCTCATAATAGCTCCTTTATTCAATAGTCTTTTCAAGATAGATGCAGAATATCAAGAAAATATGCTATACAAATATTAGTGGCTTATACCTTACAGTTTGGTCTACAGTATTTGATACAAGGTATACCAGTTAGCTATAGCCTGTATGTCAGTTGTTTTTCCCTTTGTGGAAGCAAATCATGCCAACTTTTTTCTGCATGCGTTTAGAGCAGAAAGCTATTTATTTTACATATCCATATGACTGTCCTAGGTTTTCTGGAAAGACCAAACATAGTTGTCAAATACACTCATCTGAAGTGATGACTTTGGCAGCAGCGTTTACAATTCAATGACCAGGCATGGGAAATACTGTTTATCTAAAGTATCTTACCTATTTAGCATGAAGCTGTCTTCAACTTGATTTAGAGCAATATCTGCTTATTTTTAACTTAAGCATTATGGGCTTACATAGGTATTCAGTGGTAGCACCTTATGACTCTGCCCCTCTCTACTTTCCACCAAACTCAGGTCATTGGCTACATACGCATAAAAACCCACAAGGTACCTGGTTAAAGCAGACAGTTACCCAGGGAAGACCAATTCTGCCTCAAAATTGTTTCTCCACCTAGATGCCATTATGCTTATTCCTATGATATTGAAACAATGAAGTCCCATAGATGTAGTTTCATCTATTTTTCCAGTTTATCTTTGAAAATAAATGCAAATATGGGCAGTAGGGAGAAAAGATGAAGATTTGATTAACCTACCAGTATACCTGGATGGGAGTTTGGGTGCTATAGGATTCGGGGACTCAGAATCGTTCAAAGATTAGGGAGAGAAACTGAGGTAGGAAGTTGGGGAGAAAAAAGAAAAGGGGTTCCTGAAATGAAGTGAAAGAACACAAAGGCAAGGTGAAACTTGAAAAATTAGTCCGCAGGCTGGGCGCGGTGGCTCACGCCCATAACCCCAGCATTTTGGGCAGCCGAGGCGGGCGGATCACGAGTTCAGGAGTTCGAGACCATCCTGGCGAACACGGTGAAACCCATCTCTACTAAAAATACAAAAAATTAGCCGGGCCTGGTGGCACATGCCTGTAGTCCCAGCTACTAGGGAGACTGAGGCAGGAGATCGCTTGAACCCGGGAGGCGGAGCTTGCAGTGAGCCGAGATCACACCACTGCACTCCAGCCTGGGCGACAAAGCGAGACTCCTTCTCAAAACAAAACAAAACAAACAAAAAATTCGGTTGGCAACTTTCCTTTACATTGAGATTTTCTGAAGACCAGGCTTGTAGGTCAATATATTTAATAGAATATACTCACTGTTGCTGGAGTGTTTAATGTCTGAAAGGATTTTTGTGGAGGAATGCTTATTACTTTTGTCACATTTTAAAGCTAAAATATTTTATATCTACCAGGCTTTATTTATCTAAAAATATAAATATTCATTATACAACTAATATTTCAAAATTAATATATTTAATCGACTGAGATAATGATTAAAGCATATTTAATCCAATTTTGTTAAACATTTATTAAATATTGAATATGAGTCTTAAATTTATTAAATGTTTTAAAATCAGACTAAATTTATAAATCGTCAAAATGATTGCAAAACTTTTCACTGATACAGTACTTATAATTCCACTTTGTAGCTATTCTTGAGGCATATTTGCATATGTTACTCAGTTTATAATAGTTTTATTGAATACTTATTTTTACCTTTTACACTTTAATTTTATCATATGTTGTAAAATACCTTTTTAGATTATTTTTATGCTGGGCTAGTGCTATCAGGATCTTCTAAAGTCAAACATGAAGGAGGACTGTATTACCCAATTCAAAGTCTATTTTTGAGGTACCAACCAAATGAGTTTTGATTGCCTCTTTCAAATTCGAGATCTGTTTAACAGACCAGTTCACTTTGGTGATTAACCATTATTATTGTTATATCAATGATACTTTCTAAATCTTCACCTTTTACTTTTTGCCTTTTAAAATTTGACAACTTTGCTTGAAATTGTGTGATTCTATAACTTGTTGAACAGTGTTTAATAAACGTAGGATGGGGCTCTCCTAATTATATTCATAAAAAAGGTACTAATTTGTATTTTATAATAGGTATATACTTAATTGAAGAATTAAGTTATCCATATACTAACATAATATCAAATTATCCATATACTAACAATTATTATACATATTTATTGTGATAAGATAAATATTAAATATAATAAAATGTAAAGATATATCATCGAAGTTTTCTTTCTTTTGCATGAAAATTACATATTTTCAAAGAAAACTTTGATTTTTAGTATCATTAAAGTCACATGGCTTTTTGCAGATTCAACATATATATATATATGCATAATTAGTATATATATACACATATGCATAATTAGTATACTGACACTCCCTTAATGCTAGGAGTACTCTTATTAACCAGAAATATATTTTAAAATGTTCTGCCTTTCCACTAATAACAGCTTGCCTTCCTGCTCCCAACCCCTTGTCAGGCATAGATTTACCTGCTTTTCAATGAGTGTAATGTCATAGAGACTAAAATCTAGGTGCTGCAGGTGCATATTAGATAGCACCAAATAAGTTCTGGTGGTAGGTAGGATAACATTATTGCTAAACCAGATAGTAAAAAATATTTTTTAAAAATAGGTTTTGAATGTCTCAAGCTCACATTGACAGCTTGTATTTACTGAATGCTTTTGTTGCAGACGATGCTCTGTTTCAAATACATTAACTCATTTTATCCTCATAACCAACATACGATTTGTTCATGTTGTAAAATGTAAATTCATTTTTCAGATGATAACTCTAATTTAACCCTAATAGTACTCAATCTTTCCCTATTCCAGTATAAATGTGTATTGGATTTCTTTTTTGACTTAGCCAATTTGACTTCAGAAGTTCTTTTTCTAAACTTTAATTAAATTGGAATCTTTTTAAAAATCTTACATGCTTGCTTCCTCAGTCATCATTTTAGAATTTATTAACACCTATGTAACAAAAATTAATATTAGTAATGAAAATAAGCATGCAATCATAGTGTTCTGCATTTCTTCTCATTGTTCAGATTTAGTTTAAAACCACTTATTTAATTTTCCTTACAGAAGTTTAACAGTTTAGGAGACATTGAGTTTCTTTCCAGATCTGGAATTTTGGGCTTATAGTAATTTTGATGTGTAATCACTCTTTCTTACTAACATATTTTTTCTTTTAATAAAACCTTTTCCTCATAATTTATTTATTGAATAACATACAGTGAGGACCTAGAAAGCTACATTTTCTAAATGAATTTGAGACAGGACAAAGATAACTGCAGCTATTGTCAAAAGCTGATATCATCATAGGTCCTAGCTTTCGCAGAAAATGATGACAAGGAACTGAGTATTGACACCTTTTATTAATATCTGGTGATGTAGCAAAAATAAAATTATATATAGCATTTGGAAAAATTAAGCAAGTATAAAGCAAATTAAATTGTTTTTAAAGTTTCATTTCTATTCATTTGTCACCCAATATATTTACAAATATGAAATAGCAAATGTATGCTTGTATAATAATGTTACTTTATTAACATATTTAATGTTTACCTCTTTCGAAAGGTGATTTTTTTTTACTTGCTGTGTAAGATATATGCTCAAGATACATGTGTAATAAAGTAAATATAGTCCTAGGAAAAAATGTACCTTATAACAGGTCAAGGTAGTACAGACCATAAAGTGAAACAAATATTTCCCTGGTGGTCAGAGCAAAAGAAAGAAAGAAAAACATGTAAAGGAATCTAACAGAATCTATTTCCCCTGCACACCCAACACTTCCTCAAAGAAACAAATCTACTCTTGACAAATTTTCATAAAAATTTTTTGTTTGAGGCTTTTTATTGCAACCCCTACAGCATCCCTACTTCAATTCAATAGCAAGTTTAATTAGCTTGACATAAAGCCAAAAATTTCCTTAACCGGAACTAGAATTTAATCATGAAGCCATTCACTTTATTCACTGATTAATTTTTTTTTCTAATTTTGATTTGGACAACTAACAGATTTAGCAGCTGCTCTGTAGTGGTTCATCCACCCCCAACCTGCCTCATGGGCTTAAATGTCTACCCATGAGGAACTTCATTTTAAATTCTCCCATAAATAAATATTTATATATAAACATGGTTCAGCTTAGTTAGTGTTAACACTTAGTTTAGCATTAATAAACCTAACCCTCACAAGGGTGTAGTAAAAATTAATGAGGTGGAGAAGCTGTGTTAATGAACTGGTTTTTAAGGTTAAAATTAAAAACATAAGCGCAAAGCTGGAGTGATTTCCTAGGGATGATTATTACTGATTATCAATGAGATTATTTTTGACAAAAGATATTTTATTCCTGAAGCTTATGTTTGTCATGAGGATAATTTCCTCAGCTACTGTAGTGATTTCTCTTCAGTGACAAGCAAGAATACACCATATAAAACTTTGTCACTCTCACACTTTGCAAACATCCTTCAGAAATCCAAAGCTCGTAGCAGTTTCTCCACAGTTGGGATTTTTAGAAATAATTGATGCCAGAAAGTCAAACATATAATGAATCAGGAATAAAATCTCCTTATGCTGTCTCTTACTTCAAAAATACCTTTATATGCAATTCTTGGTAAATTGATAGTTCCTATCTAAATTTGAACATACTGCTTTTCAGCGCATTTAGTGATTTAGATCCAGAATATTCCATTAGTTTTCCTTGAAGCAGTTGATTAAAATAACCTACTTAACTCTTTGAGAGATTATATGACTTTTTAGGCTTTGGATTTAAGCCCTTTAATTTAACCTTTCATTTTCATATAAAACTCAAAAATTACTTCTCTGGCTTTTTTCATAACTTTTTCTCCTAAGGTAAAATTGACCTTAGAGTTTAAAACCACATTTTACTAGTAGTGTTTAATACCTAATAAAATGATTTGAATAATCCCAAACTCCACAGTATATGCAAAGCTTTATTTCATTAGTCTCTGAGGCTTAGCCTATAATAACTTTATTAAATCATTTGAATATTAATCTGAATGAGTCAGATTGACATGGATGAATTTACTAGTTGTAAAATTATTAGATGTTATTACAAAATAAATTAGTGTTTGTAACTTTATCTTCCATATACAAATGACTCTTTTTTTAAGGAAATCACAACTCACAATAAAATAATGTTTAAGTGTTTCTTTAAAAGTATAATTACTTTGGTCATAATAGATACAGTAACTGTGAGTGTGTAATCCCTTGGCAAAATACAGTATGGATTATTGGATTAAGTTCAGAGGAAACAATTTAAAAATCAAAAATACATAATTTTATGATTTACTTTAAAATACTGTATAGATGGTGTCTAGCTATTTGCCCAGGCTGGTCTTGAGCTCGTGGTTTCAAGTGATCCTCTTGCCTCAATCTTCCAAAATGCTGGGATTAGAGGCATGAGCCAAGATACCCAGCCTAATTTTATACTTTTAAAGCAAATTATGAAGAGTGAATAAAAGTTGAAATCTGTTTTAGACTACCCTCACACTCTTATTTCTTTTACATAAATCATAAATTTGCAAGTTTTTTTAATTCAAGTACAACCAAACAGGTACTTTCATTATGTATGAAAATCATGAATAACTCTGTCTTTATGTGACAGATGACCTGCAACAAAATGGTTCCATTTTCCTGGCTTGGCACAGGGTATATTTTATCATAGTGCTCTTTTGTTTTGCTTTTAGGAATTCACAAAGTCAGTTCTTCATTCAAGTTGTAAAGTAACAAGGATCAGGGACTGTATACATCTTCTGACCTTTAATGCTCAAGCACATTTACTTAATTAATTGTCCTTAATCCTTAGTAGAGTGTTTGTGGAGACCTTTCCCAAGCATAGGAGATTCCAAAGCACTAAAGAACAATAGACATTTTAAATTTCACTTAATTGTGTCAGGTTAACATGATAAAATAGCAACATATCATGATAAAACAGCAAAATATCAGGATGACTTATGATCTTCTTGAGTATAAAGACACCAATATAGTACAAAAAAGTATCAACAAAGGGGCAGTATAAATAAAGGGGCAGATAGAGACTATTCTAAGATCATTTCATTCCACAGTAAAATATTTCACTGAGGGACAAGTCAGAACAGAATATGTAGTACCCCGGAGATCTTGCAGACTTAATTACACCTGAGTCAAAGAAACAACAATTATTATGCATTGACTTTATTCCACACCAAGTGCTAAATGTTGCTATGTTTCATGTGTAACGAATAGATAGACGGATAATTGATACTTACATAGATATACATAGAGCTATAGATGTGTGTGTGAATATATATATGTAGCAGGTATGTGTGTATATGTAATATATATACGTATATATATTATTTGTATATATATATTTTTTTGAGACGGAGTTTTACTCTTGTTACCGAGGCTGGAGCACAATGGTGCATTCTCGGCTCACTGCAACCTCCGCCTCCCAGGTTCAAGCGATTCTCCTGCCTCAGCCTCCTGAGTAGTTGAGATTACAGGCATGCGCCACCATGCCTGGCTAATTTTTTGTATTTTTAGTAGAGACGGGGTTTCTCCATGTTGGTCAGCCTGGTCTGGAACTCCCAACTTTAGGTGATCCTCCTGGGATTACAGGCCTGAGCCACTGCACCCGGCTTTATATATATTTTAAAATAACATGGTAATAGTAAAATTTATTGAACATTTAAATTGTAGGCCAACTGCTAAACATATTTGATGCACCACCACCCCCTTTAATCCTCACATCAATTTGATGAAGGAAGTTCTATTATTGACCTAATGTATAAGTGGAGAAAAAAAAAATGAAGCTGAGGGAAGTCAAGGTATTTCTTCAGCCACACAGCTAGTAAGTAATAAAACAGTAGCTCCAAATCAAATCTAACATCAAACTTCCTACTTAAAATCTTTATAATACTGCCTTGTTCAACTCAAAACATACTTTGCATTACATTTTTGTTTTGCATGTCTGTAATTAATGTATGCATGTAGAATTTACTCATTATCTGATCCCTCTAGGACATTGTTCTGGGTGTTAGCCTATAGTGAGCAATGGACATATTAATAGTGCTTGAGGCTAGCAAAATCAGTACAAACCATTCTATTTCATATAAATTTCCTTGCCTACCTGGAATACCTGACCACTTTTTCTATTTCCTAACATTTTTCTTCTTTACTCCAGCCCCACTATACTCCCTCTGTATTGCTTATTGGAATTATCTATGCAAAACACAATTCTGACTAGGTTACCCCTACATAAATCTTTGATGGCTTACATTAATTGCATGGAAGTTTGTAATTTGCCCTACGGGTATACAGAGGACACCAAAGAATAAGAATGTTGCCTTAGGAATATGTATCCAGAGAACTCTGTAGGGAAAGTCACATTAGGAGGTCATTTTAATATTCCAGGTAAAAAGGGCTTGAATTCTCCCTCTGTGGGAGGCTTGAAAATAAACGAGAATTTGTAAGTGAATGAATAGGTGGTGGTGGGAGTATAAAAACATATGGAGGAGTTAGAATGACATCAAGATTCTGAGCTTGATCAATTCTATTGAACAATTTATAATGCCAGTACATAATCAAGTCACACAGATAAGGAATGTAGGTTTCTGGGAGAATAAGTAAGTTTAGTCTGAGATAGATTTATTCTGACTTTCAGGAGAAAATACCCAACATTTAAAAATATTTGTTGGTGCTCAGGAAAGGCAGATGGGAACTGGCCACAAAACATGTTGAGAGACTCAATAAAACCATGGAAATGTTTCACCAACGACAATTTGTGCTAGGAAAAAAGACAACAGACCTAAACTTCAGGAATATATGTGTTTCTCTCACAGAGACAAAATAAAGGTAGAAAGAAAGAAGCTAGTGAAAGAGAGAAGAAAGGATGATGCAATAAAATAGAGTATAATACAAATGATGTTCAAAGTTTAAAGTGGGGACTGATATCACATGCTAAAGTAACTCTCAAAAAAGACCTTTGGGCCAGGTGCTGTGGCTCACACCTCTAGTTGCAGCACTTTGAGAGGCTGAGGCAGGAAGATCACTTGAGGCTAGGAGTTCAAGACCAGCCTGGGCAATATGGCAAGCCCTCATCTCTACCAAAAGTACAAAAATCAGCCAGACGTGGCAGTTTGTGACTATGGTCCCAGTTACTTGGGAGGCTAAGGTGGGATGATCTGTTGAGCCCGGGAGTACTAGGTGAGCTATGATCACTCTACTGCACTGTAGCCTGTGCAGTAGAGTGAACTCTTTCTCAGAAAAACAAAAGCAAACAAACAACAACAACAACAAAACTTTGGGTTTTGAGACCTTTAAAGGCCAAGTTCAGTATGATAGAAACAGAAATCATAATCCAAGGCAAACCATTTTCCAGCTTTCTCTGTAATTATGAGGCTATCCTAAACTCTATATAGTCCTCAAATTAAAGTACTAGGTATCATAATGAATATTGATTTTGGCCATAACAGGAATGAAGATGTGAACAACACAGCTTCATGGACATGACATGAGACTGAAACCATGGTGGTCTTTAGTAGTAGAAAGAAGAGAGTCCATCTAGAGGATGAGGCTGAAATTAGAAAACAGAGTCTGATTAGTGAAATGAATTTCTCCTTTCCAAGTAAGGTATCTAGATCCTCTAGATTTTCTTCTTCCAGGGAAATATTCTGCCATATGGAATATAGTCAGCATTGTAAATATTATGTCAAACTAGAAAAATTTAGAGTCTGCACTCTCACATCTTGACCTATAAGCTTAAACTAAGTAAACCATTTTTATATCAGCCAGGAAGGTATACAATTTCTAGAAATATTTTCTTCATTCTTTAGAACTAATTTTCATTTCATATCCTTAGAATTTTTTTCAATAAAATACAACTATTATCATAATAAAACTAGAAACCAATATACTCTTTCCATAATTCTCTAACATCCAGTGAAAAAGTCTCATGATGGTTAGGCTAAACTGATAATTTTCCCATTTTAAAAAATGCAGAGAGAAGTAAGAGGATAACAATTCTTTCTAAGAAGGCTCACTAATTACCTACGTGTTGTGCAGAAGGGCTTTAGCACCTGTGAATTCATGGCCTCAGTTCCTAGGTGAGCTTTCTGCAGTGTTCTGTTTTGTTTTTGTTTTGAGTCTAATTCAGTATTTTGGGCAATTTCTAGGGCTACAGCTGGAATTTCTCCCGGTAAATTCTAACAAGTCATCTTCTGCTTTTTACAGAGCTTTTTTAAAGTTCAAGTCCTCTTCAGCTAACTGCAGTGTCAGCCTTGGTTCAAATTATAAATGATGCTGTATGAGTCTGTGTAGAGAGGCTCAGATTAGATACACCTTATCTTTCACAACTTTCTTAGAATACCCTCAGACAGTGGACTTTCAATCTATTCTACAAGAAGTTGTTTAAAATGGTACCCCTGGAAGTTATGTTTGTGGTGCCTATAGTCTAAGTGTAGCCTCAGATGTGATCAGAGTAACTTCTGTATGCCAGAGAGATGTTCTGCTCATTCCATGGGACTTAAGGGGCAAGTATGGAGTAGCACTGTGCACTTTATTCTTGAATCTGTTGGAAGACTAAATATTTGAGAACACATTGATCACATAGTGCTCTTTGGGTCGGAAAAGCTAAAACAATGAAAAATATTAGCTCTTTGTCTAAATCTATTCATATCCATAGGGACAGGGTTAATGGCTTATGAAATGGTTACCATACCCCAATAAAGTTCACACTCCTACAAATGGCCTCAAGACCATTTATTATTTGGACTCTGTCATTTTTCCAGATTTCTCTATAATTATTAGGCTGTCGTAAACTATATATATAGTCCTAAAAGTATTTCATGCTCATTTATGATATCATGTCTTTATATCATGTTTTCTCTGCCTGCTGGGCAACTGTTCAATAACCCACGTCTCTCTGACTGTCTTCCTCTCCCTGTTACTCCCTCCCTCCTTCCCTCCTTCCCTCTCTCTCTATCTATCTCTATCTCCCTCTCTCTCTCCCTCCCTCCCTCTCTCCCTCCCTCCCTCTCTTCCTCTCTCTCTGTCTCTGTCTTTCTGTCTGTCTCTCCCTTTGTCTCATATGATTCCTTTATTTATTTCTGGTGACATTTCATTACAACTATTTAAAACAATGGCTGAAGCCATTCCAAGCACACCACTGACTTTATTAGACTATAAACTCATTGAGGGCAGATTTCATGTCTTTTTTATTTCTTTATTTTAGTTTAATAACCTACCTCTAACATGTAAGATCATAGTCAACACTTGGTGAATGCTGGCGTGATAAGTGAATTAATAAAATATCCTCCAGTACCACAGTAGCCACTACCCTCAAAAAGAATTCCCTTATGACACCTATGAGAAGAATGATTTCTTAGGAGGAACATACAGAGCCATCTTTAACAATTGCAATAGAGAATCAAATCATACAATTTATGCAGAAATACTTCATCGATTATAAGGCCCCCAAATAGATGATAGTCAAATAATTGCTACATTGAAAATGAATATTAATAACTATGTTGAATAGAATTAATGTTAATATCAATACAAATGTTAATAACCATTTTAATGCAGTAATAATATTTGTACTCATAATTTTGCATACTATTGGTAATATCTTACATATCATATTCGATGTCTGAAGCAAACTAAGATACCCCCGAAAAATATAGGAAAGTTACCTTTTTAAAAAAACTGATTTTAGATGTGATCCTAAGTGCAGAGAGAAGAAAACTCTCTGACTTTCCTTTTTAAATATAGTTCTATAATTCTAGCAATATCTCTTTATTGATCTCCGTGGCAATAAAAGTTTCCTATCCGTTTCATAGTGTCATTGGGTTGTAAACTTAGGATATAGTGACAGAATTTATCAAACCAAGCAACAAAACGTGTTAAGTTTTTTGAAAATGTATGTGCAAATGTTATTCTGTTTGAATTGCCAGTGCTTAAAGTGTCTACCCAGTGCCACTGCCATAATTCATGTCAAAATATCCAGCAAAAAAAAAGTTACCTCTTTCAGTCAGGTTTTTAAAGATCTTGTTTTCCAGGCAATTATAAGAAAAAAATGAAAGTGTTTATGTCACGCCTCTTAATAGGTGGATGAATTTAGAGAATTGTCTTTCCTAGCTCACAGGAAATTAAATAGCATTTTCAAAGGATCACATCTGTCACAACAGAATAACCAAAAATGTGTCTATAAACTGTCAGTAAAGAGCATCACGAGGTCATTTATATCAATTCTGTTTTCATAAACATAGTAAATCATCCACCTAAGAAATCACAACCATTACAGACTTATTTAAATTATAATTCATGGAATTTTTGAACAGTCATTAAATTACCAAAATAAAAAATTGTATAATGTCTGGTATGGAACTAGGATGTTTATTAAAGAAAATCTCTATGTCTCTGTGCACCAATATGCAAGCAGGCCTAGTAACTTGACCTCTATTTCCTAAATTCCATTATAAGAATACTAACAGTTGCCAAAGCTATCAATGTTTCCCTATCCTCCATTTATTTAAAACCCTCATGAGAAATAGAATAAATGTGCTTACCTTTAGAAAGATTCTGTGGCAAAAGTTTTATTCATCTAATTTAGTGATATTGTGTTTTCGAGAGTTTTTTTAAAGTTATTTCTTAAGATGTTATAAAAATATTTTAATTGATTTACCTCATTTTAGAAATGAAAAAAAAAGGCTTTGCTCATAAAATAGAAGCTACAATAAAATATTATTACCAACTTGCACGATTTTTAAAAATGTCAGACATTTAGATTAAATTTAAACATTAATGACAATGCTAATAATAATTGATAAGATTTATTGAGTGATTATTATGTTCTAGACACTCAGGTGAATGTTTTGCATTTACCTTCATTTGAACTTCAAAAAATCCTACAAATTAGGCATTATTTACATTTCTAAACATTTGAACATTAGGAAACTGTGCCTGAAGGAGGTAACCAACTTGCTCAAAGTAGCATAGTTAAATGGAGATGAAACAAACATTTATCTTTCTTTACCTGACTCTGTGTCTAGATCTCTTAAGAAACTAAAAGATAAAATCTCCTAATGTTTGTAGATGTTATGCATGTGATTGATCTCTAAATCATCTGAACCATCCTGAGATTATGCTTAGTATTCTCACAATCTCTAATTTTGAGATCAGACTATTGAACTGAAAAGGATCATATATCCTCTTTATGGTCACACGGCTCAGATTACTGAACTTAACGTATGTAATATATCTGATGTACATATGCACATTTAGGCCATCCTTTTTTATTTTCAATTGATTATTTTTATTTTCTCCCAACTCTTATTTTAGATTCAGTGGTTTATGTGCAGGTTTGTTACCTGGGTACATTGCATGATGCTGAGGTTTGGGTTACGGGTGGTCCCATCACCCAGTTACTTAGCATGGAACCCAGTAGTTAGTTTCTCAGCCTTCCCCCCAACCCCACTTAATAGTTTCTAGTTTCTGTTTTTGCCCTCTTTGTATCCACATGTACCCATTATTTATCTCGTACTTACAGGTGAGAACGTGTGGTATTTGATTTTCTGTTCCTGCATTAATTTGCTTAGGATAATGGCCTCCAGCTGCATCCATGTTGCTTCAAAGACATCTTTCATTCTTTTTTATAGTTATGTAGTATTCCATAGTATATGTGTACCATATTTCTTTATCCACTCCACTGTTGATGGGCACCTAGGTTGATTCCACGTCTTTGCTATTGTGAATAGTGCTTCAGTGAACATGTGAGTGCATGGGTCTTTTTGGTAGAACTGTTTGTTTTATTTTGGTTATATACCCAGTAATGAGATTGCTGGGTAGAATGGTAATTCTAAGTTCTTTGAGAAATCTCTAAACTACTTTCCTCAGTGGCTGAATGGATTTACATTCCCATCAACAGTGTACAAGTTGTTTTCTTTTCTCAAAAGTCTCGCCAACATCTGTTGTTTTTGATATTTTAGTAATAGCCATTCTGACTGGTGTGAGATGGTATTTCATTGTGATTTTGATTTGCATTTCTCTGATGATTAGTGATGTGGAGTACTTCTTCCATATGTTTATTGGCTGCTTGTTTGTATTCTTTTGAGAAATGTCTGTTCATGTATTTCACTCATTTTTAATGGGGTTATAGATTCTGAATATTAGGCCTTTGTCTGAGGTGTAGTATACAGATATTTTCTCTGACTCTGTAGGTTTTCTACTCTTTTGACAGTTTCTTTTTTTTTGTTGAGGATTTTTAGTTTAGTTAGGTGTAACTTGTCAATTTTAGCTTATGTTGCATTTGCTTTTGAGGACTTAATCATAAATTCTTTCCTGAGGCCAGTGTCCAGAATGGTGTTTCATAGGTTTTCTTTTAGGATTCTTATAGCTATAGGTCTTACATTTAAGTCTTTAATCTTTCTTGAGTTGTTGTTTGTATATGGTGAAATGTAGAGGTCCAATTTCATTCTTCTGCCTATAGCTAGACAGTTATCCCAGCATCATTTATTGGTTAGTAAATCCTTTCCTCATTGCTTAATTTTGTCAACTTTGTTGAAGATCTGATGGCTGTGGATGTGCAGCTTTATTTCTGTGTTCTCTATTCTGTTCCATTGGTCTGATTTTGTACCAGTACCATGCTGTTTGGTTACCATAGCCTTATAGTGTAGTTTGAAGTCAAGTACTGTGATACCTCCAGCTTTGTTATTTTTGCTCAGGATTGCTTCGGCTATTTGAATGTTTTTCTTGTTGTTGTTACATATGAATTTTAGAATTTTTTTTTAGTTATGTGAAAAATGATACCAATAGTTTGATAGGAATAGTGTTGAATCTGTAGATTACTTTGGGCAGTGTGGGCATTTTAATGATATTGATTCTTCTATTCCATTAACATGGAATATGTCTTCATTTTTTTTTTTTTTTTTTTTTTTGAGACGGAGTCTCGCTCTGTCGCCCAGGCTGGAGTGCAGTGGCGCAATCTCATCTCACTGCAAACTGCGCCTCCCAGGTTCACGCCATTCTCTGGCCTCAGCCTCCTGAGTAGGTAGGACTACAGGCGCCAACCACCAAGCCTGGCTAATTTTTTTTGCATTTTTAGTACAGACAGGGTTCCACTGTATTAGCCAGGATGGTCTCAATCTCCTGACCTCGTGATCCGCCAGCCTCAGCCTCCCAAAGTGTTGGGATTACAGGCGTGAGCCACCACACCTGGCCCTTCATTTGTTTATGTCATCTGGAGATTTCTATCAGCAGTGTTGCATAGTTCTCCTTGGAGAGATCTTTCACCTTCTTGGTTAGATGTATTCCGAAGTATTTTTTGTAGGTCATGCTTTCTTAAAATCTATTCAACAGTGTATTCACACAAGGCTGGTGGTAAACTTAAGCACACTGATTATGCCGATACAATGATACAAAGAGAAGATGCATGCCAACTTTCATGCATGACTTTCATTTGAATTTTTTTTTCCAATAATTCAAGCAATATGTAGTTTCATATTATGTTGAGGACTTCATATTGGTTTTATTATGTGTAGGTAAAACTCAAAATAGTCCTAATTACAGGTGATATAAAATAAATAGAATTCATGTAATTTGACTATAAATATTATCAGGTCATACATGATTAAGGGGAACATCAAGACTGTGGAAGTCTCAGTAATGAAGTCGCAGTAATGTAATTTAACTTGGTTTTAGCTTCTAAAATAAGCACAATCCAGCCTATTGTGATTGTTGTACTCACCTTAAAAGAAGGCTTACCTTTAGAAATTAGGGATATTCAAATATTCTACTTTACTTCAAACTATTTTCTAGCATCAAAAATTTATACCTACTGTTGTTGTGAGCATAAACTAAAATAAATTGAATACCTAGTAATAAGTATTTTTCTAATTTCACAGTTAAAGTTTAGAAGCCAAGCTTTAACTGTAATTCAAACTTTATTATCTGAGCTTTCAAAATTTAGGAATACTAGAAATATAAAATTTATAATCTTAATCTAATTACATACAATATTTTTTCCAGCATAACTTGTATGCTATAGTAAATATGGATAAGACTAAATGAATATTTAAATACAAAACATACAAATTAACTGTCAACCTAACCATGTTTACAACCCTGGCATCTCTGCATCATATTTAATATGATACTTCCTTTCATGTTGCTAAATACATTTCAGCATGACAACTAGCTAAGGGCAAATAAAATTTAATAATACATTCACTTTTACATGATCTTTTGAACTTGAAACTTTGTCCTTGCCCAGGGTCCATTGAAACTCTTCGGCCACAAAGCGATATCCTTCATCTTCGCTTATAACAGATGTTTTTTTTCCCTGGATTCTGACATGGAGACAAATTACCATCTTCCTATATAACTATAAAACAGAATTGCTTTTCTCATTCATGGATTATGTGGACTTTGTAGGCCTGTCTCATTTCCAAAATGCACAGTATTGTACAAAGGAGTAGAAAAAACAACAAAACAGCCATGTATGCTGTACTAACTCCTATACTAAAATCTGACTTTGTTGTCTATTTCTTATAAAATTCAATTAAAATATATTTTTTATTTAGTTTATAAAGTAATTACTGATTAATTATTAATTATATCTAATTTTTCAAATGGTAAATCACTGGTAAACAATGACAGGAAAAACACAAGGCCAACCAGTGATTCATCATTTACATTTGAAAGGATCTTAGTAAGAGAAAAGCAGCTCATTGGATATTTAATTCTTGCATAAATATAATAGCTCATTAGAGAAACTTTCACCTACTAAAACCTCATTTAATAAATGAGATGATTTTTCTCAATGGCTTAATAAAGGCATGTAACCTTCATTAATTTACATTAATGATGATAAATTGTGAGAAGTCGATCTGGGGAAGTGTATATATATGTGTGTGTTTGGTTGAGAGGTGGCTTTGATTACACTAAAAAGTATAAATAGCAATCTAGGTCATCAACTTGTATTGCTTTATTATAAAATATTAATCATAATAAACTTTAGAAATTAACATTAGCTCAAGCAAAAACTGAGGATTAGTTTGCTGTTGGCCTTCTGTTGTGTTAGAGAAAATAATATCTATCCTATTTATGGCCTCTCTCCTAGTGAAGAGTAAAATAGAAAATACGTGAGTTGCTCTTTCTTCCGTCAAACTGGAGCCCAATATAATGAAAGAGATGGAAAAAAGCAGATGCTTTTCTCTCCATAGAAGGACAAAGTCAATGAGAGATAATATAGAATGGGAAGTAGACAAACTGGTTAGTATAGTCGTAGGACACAATGGAGTAGAGATTTTCAGGTAGGAGGATTTGCCAGTCACGTCAAATTCAGCTAATTTGCAGGGAAAAGGGATAAAGGAGCAACATTTGTCAATTAATAGAGCACGGTTGTATATAAAAGTAGCACTTCCATTACAGGAATGAGGTAGAAGTATCTAGGATGTGAGGAAGTGAATATATAGTAAGAAACCGGGAACATCAAGACTGTGAAAGTCTCAGTAATGTCATTTACCTGGGTTTTGGCTTCCAAAATAAGAACAATTCAGCCTATTGTAATTAATTGTTGTACTCATCTTAAAAGAAGGCCTACCTTTAGAAATTAGGGATATTCAAATATTCTACTTTAGTTCAAACTATTTTCTAGCACCTAAAATTTATAGCTACTATTGCTGTTGTTAGCCTAAACTAAAATAAGTTGAATACCTAGCAATATTAAGAAGCGTTTTCCTACTTTCACAGTTAATGTTTAGAAAGCAAGCTTTAATTGCAATTCAAATTGTATGATCTGAGCTTTCAAAAATTTGCTTCTTTGGAAGTTAGGCAACAGATGGATAGTGGAATTTACAGTAATAAGTCAAGGGGGTATGAAGGTACACAGAGTGAATCTTGGGCAGGTTGTTTTCTTATCCGTAATTGAGGAATGAAAGTAATATTTATGTCATAAGAAATATATGGGGAAAGACATGTGAGTCTAATGCTTGATCCCTGAGTCTGGGATCCGGACTTCGCTCACGGATGTATCTCAAGTGCTTTATATGGTGTCTGGTGCATATTGTTAATGCATGATATATAATAGTATGAAAATGTTAATATTACTGAAGTTAATGTTATTAATCTTAAGAATATTATAGTCACTTATATACTTGTTTTTTTGTCTTCTACTAGTGAAAGAAATCCATTTATCCTTCTACCAGATATTAACTGAACACTTAGAATGAAAGAGATACTATCCTGTAGTAATACTAACAGTAATACTAACAGATTACTACTCCCTTTCTGTGCCTTCTCTTCCTGCCACTCACTCTCTGCTATCGTCCTGCCACTCACTCTCTGCTATCGTCCTGCAGGTTTTTGGCACGTAATATTCTAATCTTAACCCTCTCCATATCTTATTTGTGCACCCTTTTTAGATGATGTTTTTACCCTTGGCTGCCACCTTGGACTTGCTATAGCACTGTAGTCTTCCCTCGATTCCACAAACCCACTTGCCCATTAGGGTCTTGTTTTCTCAGCTGCCTGGCATGCTGATTCCTTGGATCTTCCTATGTTTCCCTCTTTCAACTCAGGATCTCGGCTCTGATACCATTTTCCTCAAAGAGCCCCTCCCTGAACTCCCTAAGTAATTCATTTTAAAAATCGACTTCTTTTGATAGGTGTCATAGTGAAATTATTTGCCTCGGAGTTTTTGGGGATTTGATATTGCATTAATGCATTAGCAAACCGATGGAAAAAGCAATAAAATATTTTCTGTGTTTATAATCACTCACATATAAATACATGAAAGTGTACATTCTTCTCTTGAAGCAGTTTTCATATACCACGATTACTGTTTGTTTCCACTAAAAGGTATAAAAGCTTCAAATACTGAGATAATATTTGTGAACTGTTAAGAATAAAAACAATCATTGGCATATAATAAAATGCATTAAATTAATAAGTGGATATCAGTTACATGAAGAGGAATCAGTTGCCTCTGCCTTAATCTATGTAACAAATATTAACAAAACACCTATTTTGTGACAGGTACTGGAGTAAGCATCTTCCATCTCTTTGTCTTGAGACCTTGTATTCATTCAAGGTTTGCATCAAATGTCAACTTTTCTTTTGCATCCTCTCTATAACCTCCTTCCTTCTGTGCTTCAATAGCATCATACCTTGTTATATTGTAGCAATTTTTATGCAGAAAATTTTCATATGTCTTCATAAGAATATAAATGTCTGAAAGTTTGGGACGAGATCTTTGAATTCTCAAGAATAAAGAACAGTCACTGGGACACAATAAATGTATATCAGATTAACAAAAAAAATGCCAGGAATCAGAAGAGGAATTCAAATATATGTGTAATATTATCTATTTTTAAAATACTATGAAAATTATAATACTATAGATTTTAATCAATTTTTTTTATTTTACCAGGAAAAAATCATGGCTTATAAAATTATTAACAAAATATATATATTGAAATGAATATGTTATGATATAAAATAACTGCCAAATGATATATAAATTAATGATATAACTACTTGAGAAATATATTTTAAGTAATCTAAACAATTACTTACAATGAAGGGAAAATATCAGAATTTTTAGATAAAAGTGGCTGAGATAAATTATATTTATCTCATACTTACTGAAAATGTTTCTTCTAAAGTATAAACTAAAAAGTGTTATTGCCTAAGCCACATGCAACTCTTTTACAGGCCATTAATTAATAGTAATGTGTGATTTGTTAAGTTTATTGCATTTTCCACAACTCATTAAATTTAGGCTTATAAGTAGCTGTAACCTGGTTTGGTTTCACTTGTTTTAATTATTTTTTGATGATTTAAGACACTAGCCATATGGATTCAAGTTTTTTAGTTTTTATTTTCCTACACCATACCATAGTAGAACTATTACTGTTGTTATTTATATTTTTTAAAAAATTCACTTGTTTTTCTCGAGAATTTGTGACTGATTTTTATGTTATACTGCATAATTCAGTAATTTCACACATTAACAACATCCAGGGTCATGTGAGGATGAGTTTTCTAGCTTCTGAAATGTTCTGAGGATGTAATTTTTTAATAAGAGGAAATGTGATCTCACAGACTATTTGGGTGTTTTCCAAGTGACTTGTCACGAATGGTTTTGCTCTCTAGTGCACTTCTGAGTACAGAAAACCAATAACCCAAACTTTTTTCCCCCAGCACTCAGAGAATTTGGGGAATGACACAACTCAGTAGTTATTTTGAACATTTTCTAAGGTACAGAATAGTGGTAACTTCTCCTGGGTATTTAGTATTTTTTTTCCATTTAAAATAAAAGCTTTTCTTTTATTAATTACTTACCTTGTGCTTGGAACATTATTAGATACTTATATATTTTAATTTGCAATACAATCTGCAAGAAAGCCATTTTTATTGTAATTTGCTGCTGAGAAAACTGAGGCTGAAAGAAGTCCAGGTTCTTTTTCATGGTGTGGCTAAAGTCTTCTCAAAACTCAGGGTATCTGCTATGCATGGTAGATTTAAGTTTTTGGGACACTTGGTACTAAAATATGCATCTTGTGACTCCAAGCCACTTAATAACATCTTTAGAGCTGAAGTTTAGGAACTAGTGCTAAAATGAGTCAAGTAAAATTCTACTGTTGTATGAATCTGACTCAGGATTACTTATTTGCTATTGTGACCATTGTGAGGAAGTGTTGCAGGGTGCTGGCACCTGCTGGCTTAGCCCATGGGCGCTAAGGTCAGACTACATTTCAGCACCTTGGGCACTCCTCCCTTGTGGTCATTTCTCTTCACTGAGAGGCACATTATAGTCAGTACTTACCAATCCCTCTTCACCCTTCCCACAACATCTTTGTATAGATAGGTGGTCACCTGAGAGACAGACATGCTTGGGTTATTTGGAATTGTATAGATAGTTGGAGGTTTTTACAATTTTAGGTGTGTGGAAACTATATAAGTTAATGCAGCTGTTCACATAGACTATATTGAAGAAGTCTTCAATCCCAAAGCATTGTCCAGTTATTTAGAAGTAAACCTGGAATTCCAGTCTTGATCTGAGTGACTTCAAAGCTTGTGTCCTTTCAACTAATGCTCTTGTAAAGAAAGAGCAATAAACATGTTGCATCTTGCAGTCAAGATCACTGTTGTCCAGATTTAAGACCTATCTTTCCCACCCTTCATATTGTTTTCTTCTTTTCACATAGGAAAGAAGCAGCATAAGGATTTGTTCTTAAGTAAACATGTATTTATTGAGTACCTACTATGCGCCAGTACCATGCTGGATTCTATCATAAGAACCAGAGTGCATGAGGTTTCTTTGGCTGTTGTGACAGATTATCACAAACGTAGAGGCTTAAACAAGAGCAAATGTATTATCTTAAAATTTTGTTTGTCATTCCAATACGGGTCTTGCAGAGCAAAAGCAAGGTGTTGGTGGGACTGCATTCCATTATGGAGGCTCCAGGAGAAAATCAATGTTCTTAGATTTTCCAGTTTCTGGCTGCTGCCCACATTTCTTAGCTTCTGATCTTTTTCTTCCATCTTAAAAGCTAGAACCATAGCATCTCTCTGACTTTGCTCCCATCATCACATCTGTCCTGACTCTTCTGCCTCCCCCTTCTACTTTTGAGGGCCCTTATAATTACATTGGCTTCACTTGTATAATCCAGTAGAATCTCTCTATTATAAGGTCAGGTGATTAACAGACTTAGTTACATATTCAATGTTAATTCCTTTTTCCATGTAGCCTAACATAGTCAAAGATTTGAGGATTCAGATGTGGACAACGTTGAATTGTTTTGCCTACTACCTGGAAAAACAGGAAATTGCCCAGGTTGTGCCAGATATGGTATACAAGAGACAAAAGGCAAGAAGTGTTCTACATAAAACTGGCCAAGCGCGGTGGCTCACACCTGTAATCCCAGCTGTTTGGGAGGCTGAGTCAGGCGGATTACCTGAGGTCAGGAGTTCGAGACCAGCCTGACCAACATGGAGAAACCCTGTGTCTACTAAAAATACAAAAAATTAGCTGGGCGTGGTGGCATATGCCTATAATCCCAGCTACTCGGGAAGATGAGGCAGGAGAATCACTTGAACCCAGGAGGCGGAGGTTGTGATGAGCTGAGAACGTGCCGCTGCACTCCAGCCTGGGCAACAAGAACAAAACTCCATCTCATAAAAAAAAAAAAACAAAAAATTGTATTCTACATAAAACAATCAGAGAACAAAGCATTGTATAAGAAAATATGCAACAACAATAACAATAATTGTAAACAGAGCTTAAGCCAACATTTGTTGAAAATTTGTTGTATGCCAGTTACTGTGCTTATTGCTTTGTATACAATAGTTGTTTTAATTTTCAAAACAACTTGTAAAGATAAGCCATCCTCATTTTGTGTTGATAAAGATAAATAGGCTAAGGCTTGGCCAAGGTTTCCTGGGTAACAAGTAGGAAAATGAGATTTAAACTTAGGTTTCTGATTTCAAAGACTGTGCTCCATTTCGCAAACTATTCATATAGTAAAACAGGGTTTAGAACAAAATGATTTCAAGTTGGTTCCCAACTTTGAAGAGTGCATCCAGCATGTTGTCAACAGGAATATGCTGAAAGAGGCGAAAAGGGAGTGAATGGAAGTAGGAAGTGGTAAACAGCATGGTGTGTAGTAAGGAAGATTGACTGTTGGAGAGTGTTGGAGTTTGTGCTGGGAAGTCAGGGAGATAAATACTATTAGGAAAAATGAGGGCGTTTTAGCTGGTCTTTAATCTCTTGAGTCTGCACATTCATCAGCAAATAAGAGGGGACACGTATAGGTTTTTAAATGATGAAACCATGTTTTAGGTACATTAGTCTGACAGCAGTGGGAAGAATGGGAAAGAAAAGAAGTAGAACAAGTTTTAAAATGCTGACAGGCAATAGCAGTGATTTCAAACACCAATTAAGTTGGAACGTTCAGACCCAAGCTCCTGTGACTGGTAATCACCCCTACAGTGTCTTCTGATTCAGCCCCACTTATTATATTTATCAACGTCTCAAAACTTAATCTTTTTAAAAAATAAAACTCGTTTTACCTAATAAAACATTATGTTTCAGATAACTTTAAAAGGATCATTTCCTCCGTAGATTTTTGTTAGGTTTAGGTCTTTGAATGTTTATAAAGTGTTCTCACATACATTTTCATACCTGGGCCTGTGAATTTGGTGAAGCACATAGACTCACATGGGATACACAGAGGAAATTAAAACTCCAAGAAATTGTGAATTGTCAAAATCAAGAGTAACAATTTCAATCCAGAACTCATCTCAAAGATATGGCCCTTTGTGTTATAGATTGTTGGGTAGTAGATAAATATATATAAAATTTAACATTTTGAATATATCTTACATTAAAGAGACCCTAACTTTTGTTTATTTTTATGAAACTGGTATAATTTTAAACTGAGATTACTTAAGAATTTTAGCAAACATGCAAATGACCTCTTCAACTATCCACTGCCTAAATGTCCTTTCCATCACCCAAACGGCAATCATAGTCACTTCTACTTCCGCTGTATATTGTAAATATATAGCAGAAACATACTCATTTCTTCAGATTACACACCAAAAAACACAGTCACCAGCTGCAACTTTCTGACAGGCCAAAATATGAAGAATTGTTAATATATGATCAATTGATCTGGATCGAGCAGAGTGCAGCTTACTGTATGACATGTTGCTTTTCATAGACGTTATCTCTGTTCAATTTGCTTCTGCATTTAAGATATTAAATTCAGATCTATGTGGCAAAGATGATTAGAAAAAGGTAACTCCTCCCTTAGGGATCTATTTTAAAATGTCAAAATTAAAATTTTCCAGAAAGTTTTGAGCAGTTTTAGCCTCCTGGCTGATGCAATATATTGAGTAGCACTGTTAGCTTAAGGATGCTGTCTGGAAATGGAAATGCTGATTTACCCTTCCCCCCTGCCATGCCACCTAATTAAAAGGCACCACTCTCAGTGGTAGGCACACTAATACATGATTTTGCTAGTGGAACTGGGAATAGCATAATAAATGTGTTGTGATTGAGGATATATGCTGTGCCTATATTTGGAAAGAGGAAAATGTTTAATTGCTCTTTAAACAAATTTGATTGCACAAATGTAGCATGAAGAAGAAGAAAGACGTGATTTTTTTTTAACTGAAGGCAAAAGGTATACTCATTTTACCTCCAGGTTGATAATTCTCCTGTGACAGTGTGAAAGTAATTTTGTCCAAGGAAAAAACAATGGTTTCCAAACAGCCACTGTCACTTCACTCTTCCACTCCTTACACGTTCCAACCCCACTTTACCATCAATATATTTGACAATAATATAATATAAATAATAGCAAGGAAGCTTTTCTGTTAGAGTAGGCCATGTATGGATATAAATGTCATTTTTATGTCATAACTAGACATGATAAAATATAAATAAACTGATATAGTATTTAAACATAATGACAAGGTCACAAATACATCTTTTTTTACTGTGTAAGCCAACCAAACTAACAATTTCAATTATAAGTTTAGTCAGAAGTAAACATTCTACCATCAATGGTAGACATAGACCTCTGGGTCAGAAAATTAAATTTACATTTAAAATAGCAATGTTTTCCCTAGCTTTTCTTTGTAATTACGGACAATTTGAAAGCTGCCTTAGGAATTAAAAAGGCAGTGATCTCACCAAAACCTTCATCATATTTCCCCTCTCCTTAAAGGATGAAAACAGAAGTGAGTTATATGTTAATCTCATATACTTTGGAAGAGGTTCAATGATTTTGTTACATTTGAGAGGTTTTGTCTGATTTCTCAGACTTTTGAGTTTCATAGCAATAACATACATTGAAAGCGAATATATTTATAGCCATTATTTAGGTTCCATATGGCCGATTGTATTTCTTGGGAGGCGTGACCTAACTATAGTTAGAGCTAGCATATATTGCCTTAAAAACATGGGAACACTGGGTAAAATGCCTAATTTATTTGTAAGTAGCAATTTACTAATAATAGAATCAAACCAATCTTAGTTATTGAATTTAAGAAACTACAAAATTTCACAGTTACATGTTATTACTATTGTTGATCCCCTGAGAGTAGAACTAAGGGAAATATAATCACTAAGCCCTAGGTAATAAAATCAGTTCTTGTAGAAAATATGACCACAAAAGAGAATTTTCAGTGTATAGAAAAATATTAAGCGAAAATTATAAACTAGTAGACATTTAAATAATCAGAGCTCTACAATTTTTTAATGAGCAATGAAGATTGATTAAAATACAGACCCTGGTTAATATAATCATTATTCAGATGATCTTAACATTAGTGAGCCTAATCTGGATTGTTTAAATTGCAAATAATTGCTGCCTTAATTGCTATTAACTTGGAAAAAATGATTTTCTTCTTTCAAGATTAATCATCAGGCTGGTGTTAACAGCTGTAATTTGGATCATGATGATAACAAACACAAAGGCAGTTCTCTTGAAACTCCAACTATCCAGCATGTGTTTAATGTCAGGTACTGGGAAAACGTGATTTATATACATTTATGGCTTAGAAAACAACAAAAGGACATAAAGTTGAAGGGAGGAAAAATATGATGAATATTTTTGTGGATCCATTGTCTTTTTTCTAGCACAGCTTTTGATTTGTCCACAAATTTTAAAAAAGCTGGAAAAAATCCTGCTGAAATGTAAAGTTGATTTTGTCACCAAGAAGTCTATGTTTAAATGCCTGATGGTACAATGTTTACTTCTGATTAAATCTAGTGATTGAAATTATTAGTTTGGTTGGTTTACACAGTAACATAATAGATATAGTTCTGATCTAGCCATGATGCATATTGGCTATATGCATTCTTTATATATTTATATATAAATATAATATTGTAACAAATGCCACATTAATATTGTTAAATTTATTAAAGAAAAACATAGCCCTTAGAGAAAAATAAATGGAAACAATGGTTATGCACAGTAAAACAAAACAACTTTTTTAAAGGACATATTTATGAACACTGTATTCTTTATTGACCATTGCCTGTCATCTGCGGGTCACAATAGTAGCAATACTTTTGAAATATATCAAACAAAACATTTTGTTGTATCCAAAGTGTCCACCTGTTTTTATAACAAGTGATTCTAGGATTCATCACAAAATTAACACATTAATACACTATGAAATGAAAAAAAATTTGAAATTGGCTTTTGTTTCTTTGCTTTACTGGAAATATATTTTGTGGTGAATTCATCTGAGTTATTTTTTACTTCCAGAAAGATGATTACCATATGTATTTTATTTATAAATTTCGGTTCTGATTCCAAAAACACAATATTTAATGAAAATGCATAGAACAAAGCCTTGAGATGAAAAGTCTTTAATATTAAAATATTAAACACCTATGTGGAAGGAAGTTTCTTGCCTCATTCCCTAAGGACAGCAGTTGGCTAAACAAGTATAAGTGAAAGAATTACAATTGAAGATACCCTGCAGAAGAGAAAAGAAAAGTCCTGCCACCCGGTACTCTGAAGACAAAAATCTGTATCTGCTAGCAGGAGACTTTGTTTGCAAGACAGCAGAGGTGATTCCTAGAAGCCGGACTTTCTGGTGGAAATCATGATTTTTGGTTTCATCTAGTCTTCCAATAACAAGCAGGTTGAGTCCTGAAAAAGCATAAGCACAAGATGGCATTATATGAGTAACATGTACCAGTTTCTCAAAACATTTCATTTAAAGATATCTTTACTTTTATGTCTGACATACTGTCCTTAATAGCAATCTTAACACTTCTGAATTTTAAATTGTTACATATTTGAGATTATATTTTCATAAATCATCTAAAAAATAAGAATAACTCTATATAGCTAACCAACCGTATACTAATGAACAATGTGGCTGAGACTAATAACATATTTTGGTAACAGGCTGTGTCCACTTGATGTTTATTTCATTTTTACCCTTATAAATGTAATACAAGCAAAACAGACCACAACAATTTTTATTTTTTAATGAATCACTATTACAAACACTTTTGTAACTGCCACCCAGGCAGGAGCTAGAATTTCGGCGATAGTTTCAGTAGCTGTGCCACATCCCAATCTCAGACCTCTCTCACTAACCATACATAACCATGTTCCTGAATTTAAATTGTTACTTCCTTGAGTTAACTTAGTTTGTATTACCCATGAGTTCATTCCTAAAGTTTGATTTTGCACATTAAAAAAAAAATACGCCTTTTTAAATGGCAGAAAATATTTGAAAATGATGCCTCAGGATAAATAATTAGTATTCAGAATCTATAAGAACTCAACAAGAAAAAAACTAACAACCCCATTAGAAACTGGTCAAAAGACATGACTACACATTTCACACACAAAAAAAGGAATAAAGCAGCCAACCGATAATAAAATTCTCAATATCACTAAGCATCAAAGAAATGCAAATTAAAACCACACTGTGATATCATCTTAACACCAGTCAGAATGGCTTTTATTAAGAGGTCAACAAACAACAGATATTGGCATGGATGCAGAAAAAACGGAACACTCATACACTGTTGGTAGGAATGTAAATTCAATCTTTATGGAAAACAGTATGGAGATACCTCAAAGAACTAAAAATAGAACTACCATTCAATCTAGCAGTCCCACTACTGGCTATCTACTTAAAAGAAACGAAATTATTATATTAAAAATATATCTGCACTCATGTTTATCATAGCACTGTTTACAATAGCAAAATCTTGTAGCTAACCTATATGTCTATCAAAGGTTGAATGGACAAAGCAAAGGTGATACATACATATCAGCATGGAACACAATGCAGCCATAAAAAAAGAATGATATCATATCCTTTGCAGCAACATGAATGGAGTTGGAGGCCATTATCCTAAGTGAACTAACTCTGAAGTAGCAAATCAAATATTGCACATTCTCACTTATAAGTGGGAGCTAAACAATGGGTAAACATGGACGTGAAGATAGAAAGAATAGGCTCTGGGAACTCTGAAAGAGGGAGGAAGGAATGGGGATTTGAAAAATTACCTACCAGGTATAATGTTCACTGGGTAATGGATACACTAGAAGCCCAATACCTACCATTTCACAATACATCCATGTGACAAACAAGCACATGTAGCTCCCGAAGCTAAAATTAAAATAAAAAAGATATGTCTGTTTAATTCCTATTAATCTGCAGGGTCTTCCTCCGTTCCTTTCCTTTTCTTAAACTCATCTGTTGAAAACTTAAGTTATTTGACTGAAGAAATCCCCACAGTCTGGATTAGGATTTTTCTGATTAGACACACATGGTTTAGAGCTCAACATGTTGCCAGAATTGGTGTATTTCCCACACATTGGCAGCTGGATCCAGAGGCTTGAGCAGACTCAGGTTGGAGCCCTTTGATGATGGTGATGAATTCTTTCCTCAGGAGGGAATATCTAGTTGTGTTTCTTTTTGTGTTGTTAGTAGCTATTGACGGATAATACCTACATCCATTAACACATTAGGTTTGCAAGTTGGTGATATTCTAATCTATCATTTATCTTTTTATTTGTTAGTTGGAATACTTTTAAAAGGAAATACATCTTCGTAATCTGCTATTAAACTACCTAATGGTAGATGCCATAAAGAAAAGATATATGCTTGATTCATCCCCTTTGTCAGTTCCAAGTCAACAAATTGAATTATTTGAAGATGAACAATTTACTTGATAAAAAAGTAATTTATGGATTTAAATACATTGATAGATTTGCAGTTCAATAACTTGCAATCATTATTCTTTTGGAAGCTCAATTTTTTTCCTTTTGGCCATGGGAGTCCCTTCAAGTAGGCTCCTGGAGCCGTTCACAATGACCCTAATAGTCTGTGCCAGCTTCCTCTCAGTGTGCTGTGACAAGCCACAAAGTTAAAATTCATCATTTCTTCTAGAAGGTCTAGTTTCTTTGGTTGGGAAATGGTGTTTGAAGAACACAGATTACTGGAGGTGCTCATTGCTGTAGCGTTAGTAAGAATCAAATATATCAAATTATACTGATACATATAACCCAAATTGAGGATTATAGTTTTCTTAATCTTTTCTGAACATCTGTATCCCTTTACCTCCACACTGAAAATCTTTGTTCTAACAGTTACCAGGAATGACAGAATAGATCTCTCCTAATTATTCTTTAACTTCATCTCACATACACACGTGAATCTCAGAAAAATAATACTTCGATCAGTGAAAAGTAATTACTGAGAATTTTTCTTTTCATACGTTGGTATGATTTTTATTTAGTTCATAGATTTGTTTGAATCTGTTTATCATAACTGGGAAGTTGATTATTAAAACACTCTTCATACTTAAAGTGGAGCAAAATAACAAGTTATCAATTTTCTTTCATTTGCTTTTTTTCTATATGCTCCTGTTATTACCACTGAATAATATAGGAAGCTCATAAATTTTCCCATAGCACTAAGGTATTAAAAATTATAAAATGTGGATGATATGTGTACATTCGTAGTTCTGTGTGCACTGTATTCTTTTATATAGCTCCTGGAAAACTTCAGCTTCCTCAGATATACCTCCCTAATCTCTCATATTATTTTGTACAGTCCTAAAGCATTCCATACCCAAACACTCGACACATTTGTGGTAACTCTTTCCAAATTGTCTTGCTAAAAGTCTGTACACTCTGGTGTACCTTTTTTAAAGGATATATATATATGAAATACATAATAGACAATACACATTTGCAAAATAAATGACTCAATGAATAAATCAGCCTTCCCATATTTTACATAAGTGTTAAAAATATTGACTTAATTGTATAAGCACTGTTATATAAGGTCATTTTTGTAGTGATTTTTCACACCATAAAAGGAAATCACAAAAGTTCAACAGATTTTTATATGCTTTAATTAACACTCTAACCCTGGAGAGTTAGAAGAACTCTCCAGGCTGGACATTGATAATTTAATACTAGCACAAAATTAGGAATAATGAGTGAAATACTACATATCATCTCCTGCTGAAAGGCATCAAATAAGCTTTCTCATTTTTTTCCAGTTTTGTGATGCATAGTTGCTACTGTCTAGAATACTCTGTAACTTTCACTGAGCTGAGCTATCCCTATGCCATGCGACCAACATCCGTAAGGAAACTCCTCACATTTCCTTATGGATGGTTGTTCAGGACCTGCATCTGGAACCCCATGGCTTCAAATGTTAGGCCCTTTTTCCTAATCTGTTACTGCTAACCTCTGTTTCTGGCTTTTTGCACTGTCCGCTAACTATACCTTTGTACTGATATATGCCCCTGATATCTGGAAATTGATGTTCTAGTCTTGATCCCAGGCTCCCCTCATTGGTTAACTGTGTTCCCTTCCTACACTGCATTCTCCCTTTGTTCCAGGCAATGCATGAGCCCTATTTAGCTTCTTTCTCATGATCCAGCCGCACTATATGTACCTGGAGTTGATGTTGCATTAAGGAGTACAGTGGGGGGTATGGTCTGAATACATGTACATTTATTGTACTATAACACATGAGGCATTCAAGTTTCTTGGTCGAGTTATCAAATGAATAAATGATCTTTCAGAGACTGCCACAGAAGCATGAATAACATAGTATAAAAATTAGCATCATTTTAGAACTTAGCAAACTTTCTTACATGTATTATGTCAATGCCCCTAAACCTTGTAGCAATCCTGAACAAGGCAGATTATTCAGTTTTACACTTAATGAGGCTCAGATATATTAAGTGATTTTCTAAGTTCACACTGAATTTAGGTGAGAGAATATGATTGAACTCCATCACCTTATTGCTATACTAAATGATAAATTTCATTCTTGCATCACCAATTGTGTAATAGTGACCAAACTTCTTAACTTTTGTGTGCCTCAGTTTCTTTTATTCTTTTATTCTTTTAAATGATTTTCTCTGTAGAAGTGAGTTATCTATGTAAATTGCTTTTAAATTCTAGGGAGAAAAAAAGAGCTGTAGGAGTGATAATTAGATGCCATGATATAGATGGTTTTAAATGGAGTTGAAAGGTTCATGGAATAAAATTCTTTCCATATTTTCATTAATATGGATTTTTAATACCCTTTGGAAATTAACTTTAAAAGTGTTTTCCATCTTTGTGAAAAAGAAACTTTATTTCCATTGACTATAAAATTCTTTATAATAGAACATGCTCCAGTTTTATGAAACCCCGTAGGATAAATAGTGGCTTAAATACACCGGCAGACAGATCTATCTTTAATTGAACTACTCAGCCAGATCCCATTGGGAGTAAAAATCTAGTCTTTCAAAGACATTGGAAATTTTGTTTCTGAATTCAGGTCCAGTATATCAACAGTGACATATGCAAGTAGGAACTGGTTCTGCTCATTTACTCTGCCTTTGAAATTTACCAAAACCACATTCTTGGCTCCTAAGTGACAGAGATAAGTCTCTTTCTATGGATCCCACAGCATTAAAAAATCTAAACACAAGGTAAATTTATATCTGCATTTCCAATCAACCATTCAGATTTAGTGGATTTTTAAGTTTATTTCTTCATAATCTTTAGTTTAAAAAAAAAATAAGGAAAGTGCTGTTTTAACATGTAGAAAGGGTAATTTTAACATAACAGTCTTAATTGCTTAAAATTACATGCTGTAGTAATATACAATACTGTGCAGCTTTATACAGTACTATATCTGCATTTGCATTATAGGTTTTCAATCATATGTTAAGCTTTCCTCATAACTATTAAATCTGTTCATATTGCCTATTGACTTTGTAAATAATGCATAAGTTTTCCATGTCAGTATAATACCAATTTATTTCACCATTCACTATCAAAAGTTTTTAAAATATTCACCACATTCTCATCTTCCAGTTTATTGCTTTGAAGGGTAGGATTCTGTGAGAGTGCATGGTAATGAACTTCATATTAAGCAGTCTACTTCAATACAGTCTGCCTTAATTATTACTTATTAAGACACCCCACAAGTTTCACACCAGCTATTTTCTGTTAAATATGTAGCATACATTATAACTGTACCAAAAAATGATGGCATCTGGAATTGTAGAGCAGAAAGAAAGTTTGAGATTATTTCTTTTAACCTTCTTATTTTAGAGGCAAATGAAGTTAGATCTAGGAAATTAAGTCTTTTCTAACATGACAGAATTGACTGTTGAGAGCCCTGGAATCAGAGTCAAATGTCTTGGCTCCCATTCTTACCTTCTTTTTGCTTTTTCTTTTACACTACTTCTTCTGTGTGTTTTGTCATAAAAGATATATAAGTTGACTTTACTTTGATGAAGGGAAAGCTACTAATGGCATGTGAGAGAAGGACTGAAGTGGGGATAAATAGTTATTGTACAACTTACAATTTTTTCAAATTCTGAACAACAGTGCAAGGTAGTGATGGCATGTGCAATAGGTGTCATGCACATTGTAAAAAAAACTACAGGTAAAATACCATTAAAAAACACACTCTAAGAAGCAAAGCCTTTCTGTCATTAATCAGTACTTTGGTTTTGATTATTTAAGATGATACCTCTGGCTCACGCCTGTAATTCCAGCACTTTCAGAGGCCCAGGCAGGCGGATCACGAGGTCAAGAGATTGAGACCACCCTGGCCAACATGGTGAAACCCCGTCTCTACTAGAAATCCAAAAATTAGCCGGGCGTGGTGGCGCGTGCCTGTAGTCCCGCTACTAGGGAGGCTGAGGCAGGGGAATCACTTGAACCCCGGAGGCAGAGGTTGCAGTGAGCCGAGATTGGGCCAATGCACTCCAGCCTGGCGACAGAGCGAGACTCCGTCTCAAAAAAAATAATTAATAATTTTTTTTAAAAAAAGATGATACTCCCAAAAGGTTCTGGTGAAGATACATGTTTTGTTTTTTGTTTTTGTTTTTCTCTTGAGACGGAGTCTGGCTCTGTCGCTCGCGCTGGAGTACAGTGGTACGATCTGATCTCTGCTCACTGCCACCTCTGCCTCCCGGGTCCAGGCGATTCTCCTGCCTCAGCCTCCCGATTAGCTGGGATTACAAGCGCGTACCACTACGCCCAGTTAATTTTTGTATTTCTAGTAGAGATGGGGTTTCACCATGTTGGCCGGGCTGGTCTCGAACTCTTGACATCAGGTGATCCACCCACCTCGGCCTCCCAAAGTGCTGGGATTACAGGCGTGATCCACCGTGCCTGGCCAGTGAAGATAATTTCTGGTAAGTTAGTGGGAAAAGGAAAGACCTCACAAAATCAAAGAGTAAGGGAAGCCTTAAAAAGTAGAAAGGGAAAAATAAATAAACAAAACTGCATGAAAGCTTCTCTTCCCTGTCATTATAAAATTAATTTTTTCTTAGTTACTGATGATATATATCACCGGACCAGATAGTACACATTGGTAGCTTTTGGAAAAACTTGGCATTTTGAAATTGGACAGAACAGGTAAACATAGAAGCTCCCAAAACTATGCAGAGAATGAAATGCTACAGGTTTAAGAAACTTCTATCGATGTTACTTCTGTCTACATCATACCTAGTGCGAACTGTGTTTGAGTTTGGGTTTTTTTTCTGATTTGTTTCATTTTGTTTTTAACTGTGGCTCCTAAATTTTAAAACACTGCTAGCTACCGTTTATTGAGTTCGTTTATGGGCAGTCCTATGTCAAATAGTATTAACACTTTATTCCATGCAATGCTTACGACAACTTTTACACAAGCTGCTTGAAATTATATAGGTTTGCAAATTATATAAAAGAAAGAGATTAAGAAACTGGCCTAAGATCGAGAGTGTGTGGAAACTGGGATTTGACTTTAGTAGGTCTAGCAAGAAGTCTATGTCCTTAACAACTCCATAGTCCTCCTGCACACTCATTTTCAGGAGAAGCAGTATTTATTTATTAAAATACTTTTCCTCCTTAAGGACAAAAATGTCAACAAAAACAAAATTCATTGCAGTCTGTGAGAATATCTTTCAAAGTGAGGTGGGTTTCCCTACTAGCCAACCAGGTTTTTCTCCCCGTTCACTATTCTTGAACTAATGCCAGATTGAAGAAGTAAACTGTATATAGTTACATATTACATTTTCCCTCACATGCATAGCGTGTGTTCATTAATATTTTGCATATGATCAATGAGGCAATTGAAAACATTTTATATCATGGAAAATCATGAAAATATAAATGGACAATAAATAGCATTCATGTTGCCATTGCTCTGTGTCCCTCTTTTCCTCTCACAATAAATGTTTTGTAATTCACAGAGTGGTACATGGCTAACAGTTGCTTATGCAATAATACTCATAGAATAAGAAATAGTACTCATAGAATAAGAAAATAGTACTCATAGAATCAGAAAAGTAAATACAAATATGAAAGAGAATAACTGTTTCTACTCCATTCATTTTTTTTCACTCGTGGTTAATGAAATAGAACAAAACAGGACTGGCACTGTAAATGACCAACTGGCGATTAAAATAAGCTTCAAAAGTTTTTCGGAGTTGATGAAATCCTTATTTCATGCCACAAGCAGCTCCCAAGAGACTAATGTTTGATGTGCTTGCTCAATTTTACAAATACAATTGAAATTGAAGGTGTATAAAAAATCTGTAGACACCAACATTTTCTGTAATACTATGAATTGCTTTTGTCCTTTGCAAAATGTTATTCTCTGGCCTTGACAAAAAATAATTTGTTTAAATCACCTTCTCAGTGGAGAATTTCAAGGATATTATTATACAACAGTAGGGTAATAGAATTGTCATCTCTATTTAGGTGTAGGAAATATTATTTTGGAGATAGTAAAAACTCACCTCTACCACTTCAACCATCTATTTGTGAGGAAGCACAGGGAAATGTTATGACTTTTTTAATATTTAAAAAAATTGTCTCTCTTTGAAATAAAACTTATAAAGTGTACCTAAAAATTGTCATGGTTCATTAGAAGCTATCCACTGAGAAAATTAAGGCTAACTATGGAGATAGTAATTGACTTTAAGAGTTGCAAACTAGTTTCAATTAAAACTGGCAGCAATTATTTAGCACACATCTATGATTTATTGGAAATTCAGACAGATTGTGCAGTAGCATTAATAGAGGTATGTTTCTGGATTGGTACAGGTATGATGAGTGAGATTTTTTTCTGTGCTGCAGGCAGTCTAGGAACAAGAGCTGCTGGAGGACACATTTGATCTACATACTACACACTCTTGTGAAATACAAACCACAGTACATGGTTTCACAGGATAGGAAACAGTTTTTAAGTTTTGACAGTTGAATTATAATGATTATACAAAATAAAATGCCTACTCCCAACTTTTGTAAATTATAGCCAGAACGGAGAATGTTTTTAGTTCCTTATGAAATGATTTATGTAAGTGATATTTATGATTTTACATGGGGAATGTATGGTACATTTCCTGAGAAAAGTCACTTTGATTCTACATTAGTTATGCTTTTTAAAAATTCATTGAAGTCCACTATTATGAATTACAGCATCATTGTTCTCATATCAGTAGCATACAATATGTCAAAAGGGATTTAAGGGCTATTTAAACATTTTAAAAACTTGAGTCCTCAGGTAGTATATAGTGATAACAATGTTGTTATTTTTAAAATAAAATAAAGGGGGGGAGCTGGCTTAGTAAGTGCTGCGTATAAACTAAATCTGCCCTGAGGCAATGATTTTTTACTGGTACAGAAGCTGCTAGTGCTGGGTTTTCGGTCATTACTATGATTTGTAGCAAAGCTAGCTCTCCCTCCAGCCGTGTATCGCAGAGCTTGCAGTTTATTCAGCCGACTACTATCTGAGAGTTGCACAGTATTGTCTGATAACATTCTATAGCTTCCAAGTAAGTTACTCCTATCTCATCTTGTTCATCACAGTAGATCACAGTCTTAGCTATTACTGTTGATCAAATATAGCACTGAATTTACCACTACTCTGCTGAGCCTGAATGGGGACAACAGAAGCCTGACAGATAAGCTCAGATAGTGTAGTTTAGCACTGAAATTGTGGAGAGGCATATAACCTGACACAAAGCCATCTCAGCCTATTTTAGCAAAGATGACTGAGGGACTGTGAAGCTAAAAGGCAAAATGCTAATAAAGTCTTCTGCTGAAAATAAGTTTAATTGTAAAATAATACATAGATAACACCCTTAATGGTCATGGTTTATATTTTATATATGAGTTTTCATCAGTAAGTGATCTAGATACTCTTGTGAAGCTCTCCTGTTAAAAGACTTATGGTTTTCATAAAAGATAACTATTGCTGGACTTGCATGAAGTGGGATGAATTTATAAGAGCACACTCACTGCCAGCCTATGCACCCACCCCTCCAAAGAAAAATTTTTGCTAAAAATGAACTTTGAGCAGTAAACACCCAATAAAAGAGATTTGGTTTAAAAGTAGACGCTGAAGTCAGTTATACATTCAGTAGCCTCAAGCAAGAACCAGCAGTAAAACATTCTGAGTAAATCTGAACACAATTTTGAGAACAAGAGATCTCTAAATCACTCATTTTTTATTTTTTTAATTTAATTTTTGTGGGTACATAGTAGGTGTATGTGTTTATGGGGTACATGAGATATACTGATACAGACATAAAATGCCTAATAATCATATCATATAAAATGAGGTTATCCATCCCCTTTAGCATTTATCTTTTGTGTTAAAAACAATCCAATTATATATTTTTAGTTATTTTTAAAATGTGCAATTCAATTATTATTCGCTATAGTTAGCCTGTCGTGCTATCAAATAGTAAGTCTTATTCATTCTTTCTGACTACTTTTTTTGTGCCCATTAACCATTCCCATGTCCTCTTTATTCCCCCCACCTCCATTCCCAGCATCTGGTAACCATCTTTGTACTCTCTATCTTCATGATTTCAATTGTTTTGAGTTTTAGATCCTACAAATAAGTGAGAGCACATGATGTTTGTCTTTCTGTGCCTGGCTTATTTCACTTAACATAACAACCTCTAGTTCCATCCATGTTGTTGCAAATGAAATAATCTCATTCTTTTTTCTTTTGTGGCTGAATAGTACCCCGTTGTGTATAAGTACCACATTTTCTTCATTCATCTATTGATGGACACTTAGGTTGCTTTCAAATCTTGGCTATTCCAAACAGTGCTGCAACAAACATCGGAGTGCAGATGTCACTTTGACATACTGATTTCTTTTGGGTGTATACCAAGCAGTGGGATTGTTGGATCATATGGTAGCTCAGTTTTTAGTTTTTTTGAGGAACCTCCAAACTGTTCTCCGTAGTGGCTGTACTAATTTACATTTCCACCAACAGTGTATGAGGGTCCCCTTTTCTCCCTATCCTTGCCGGCATTCGTTATCTCCTGTCTTTTGGATATAAGCCGTTTTAACAGGGGTGAGATGATATCTCATTGTAGTTTTGACTTGGATTTCTCTGATGAGCAATGATGTTGAGCACCTATTCATACGCCTGTTAGAAAGTCAATTTCTAAATGGAATGATTGGCATGGGCCTGGCTTCCTTGTTAACATGCTCATGGTGTTTACTGGCAGAAAGATTATGAAGAGTCCCTATTAAACAAAACAAAACAAAACAGTGAAAACAAAAATCCCCTAATCACTCAGGATACTCCTGGCCTGTCTTGATAACCTATTATGTATGAACCTGGAGTTTATGTATTTATAAAGTATGGCTGTCTGGAGAGTGAGAAAAGTCACTATCTTCTATCTGTTGAATTAAATAGAAACCAGGAGAGCCCCAAAACTAAATCAGCTTTCTTTAAGAACAGCATGTCCACACCCTTTTCAGACTCACTATATGTTAATCAAAAACAAAGCAAGTCCTGTTACAGAAGATAAGATATTAGAAGCCACGTCTTCTGCAACTCATACTTTTCCAGAAAGGAATGTTAATTTTCTGCATGATATTGCTTCTACCTTTTAAATCACTGGTAAAAATTCATATTGGGGAATATGTACAATTAAAGTGATTCTGTTTTCACCTTTAGTGTTCAAACAAGTTGGAAGGTAGCTGTAACGGCCCCCAAACAGAAGCACCCCTGAATCCTGAGAAGCAAATGGAAGTGCTCCCTGGAGGAAAGATCCTGAATCTATATTCAGAAATTCTATATAGACCTCAGAAATTCTAAAAGTTAACATGAACTATATATGAAATAACAATCAAACATCATCATTCATAAAGGAAAATGTTACAACAAATAGTAAAAGATCAAAGAGAAAAAATATTAGATTTGTACCCTGAAAACTAAAATAATATAATTTGTAGATACGGAATATAACATAACTATGTATGAAATGTTTGAAGAAAATAGTAATTTAATAAAAATAAACAAGAACTAAGACATTATCCAAATTGACCAAAGAGATTTGAAAAATAATCAAATATAACTTTTAAAATGAAATATGTTTACTGAAATATTTAAAGAGTAGAATAGACATTGTTGAAGCAGAAGAGAACGGAAATAATAGTGAAAGAACAAATATTTAAAGATGCAGTGGCTGAGAATTCTCCAAAACTCATAAGAATTATGATTCCACAGATATTGTAGGTACGTATATACTGAGCAACATGAATAATAATGAAATCCACAGTTAGACACATTATAGTGAAACTGTAGAACATATATTACAGAGATGTTAAAAACAGTAAGAAGGCTGGGCACGGTGGCTCACGCCTGTAATCCCAGCACTTTGGGAGGTTGAGGCAGGTGGATCGCCTGAAGTCAGGAATTCAAGAACAGCCTGACCAAAATGGTGAAACCCCATCTCTACTAAAACTACAGAAATTAGCTGGGTGTGATGGCATGTGCTTGTAGTCCCAGCTACTCGGTTGGCTGAGGCAGAAGAATTGCTTGAACCAGGGAGGCAGAGGTTGCAGTCAGCCGATGTAGTACCACTGCACTCCACCCTCAGCGACAGAGCGACACCCCATCTCAAAACAAACAAAACAGGGAGAAAAATCCAGGCGTGGTGGCTCACACCTGTAATGACAGCACTCTGGGGGGGTGAGGAGAGTGTATCACCTTAGCCCAGGAGTTTGAGACCAGCCTGTGCAACATGGCACAATCCTGTCTCTACAAAAAATACAAAGATAGCAGGGCATGGTGGCATGTGCCTATAGTCCTAGCTACTGGGGGCGCTCAGGTGGGAGAGCCGTTTGAGCCAGGGAGGTCGAGTTTCCAGCAAGCTGTGATCATGCTGCTGCACTCCAGCCTGGGCAAGAGGGCAAGATCCTGTCTCAAAATAAAAAAAAGAAAAAGAAAGAAAGAAAAGAGAGAAAACAAAAGCAGTGAGAAAAGACAAAGCTGCCTACACAATAATGACAAGTAAACTATTCAGCAGCAACCAAAGAAACCACACAACTTGGTGATAAAGTCCTCAAAGTGATGAACAAAAAAATAGCTGTCAACTTAGAATTGTGTCTTCAGAAAAATAATCTGTCAAAAATGTTATTTACAAAATTGTAAATAAGCAAAACTGAGAGTTTACAACCAATAATTATACCCTCAAGGAAGGATTAAAATTTTTATCTCAGGCAAAAATAATCCTAACAGGAACGTTTTAAGATGCAGTAAGAAATGCTTAGCAAGATATTGGTGAATTGACTATCCAGCCAAATACGCATCACTGCACATAATAATAACATTTTTGTAGTTAATAACGTAGATATCTCTAGAAAGTTTGGTGAGTAATAAAGAGATAAGACAAAAAATATATTAAGAATGAGAAAAACGGCACAACTCCAAGTGTAATAGAGAATTGAAAGAAGATACCATGAATACATTTGGCAATGAAATTGAAAATGTTGCAAAAAGTCCTCCAAAAGTAAAATTTTCCAAAACTGATTCAAGAGGAAATTAAAGCTTAACTAGAACTTTGAACATTAAAAAATTAATCATTAACTTAAAACATTTCTACAGAGAAAATACTAATCCATTTTTATTGTAAATCAATTCCATCAAACTTGCAAGGAAAAGATCACTAGGAAAATGTGTATCTACATTAAAAAATTAAGTTTATATTCAAATATAATCTCTGATAACTTTGAGAATTAAATGTAAAAGTCAAAACTATAAAACATTTAGATAAAACATATAGAAATATCTTTATGATCTTGAACTAGGGAAAACTAAGATGTTTCACTGTAATATATTCACATATTCAGTTGCATTCATATTAATAACTCTTATTTAAAATTCAGCATAAAAATGTACATACTAAAATCTGAGGAAAAAGATCTGGACATATATAACTGACAAGTGATTAGTAATCAAAATATATAAAGGACTTCTACAAATTAAAATATGTGTAAGTATGTATATATTTTATGAAATAGTCAATGCATATTAATAGGTATTTACCTAAGGGAAAACCCATGGTAAAACATAAATATGCTCAAACCTAATAAATAGAAAGATTCAAAGTAAGTCCATATTTTATACCATTTGATGTCTAATAAGTAGTCAAAAATGTTGAAATTTCATAATATCAAGTATTAGAGAGGTGTGGGTTAAGAATTCATAAACAGTTGCTTGTAAAAACATTTGGGAAAACCATATACCATGAGACATATAAAAGACTGTTCTTAGCAGGATCGGTTGTCTTAACAAAAATACTAGTAATGACGCTAGTGGGTATCAATAGAAACATGGATTAAAAAAATACAGTACATTCAGAAAATGAAATATGTTAATATGTTACAGCAGTGAAAACTAATGAATCCAAATGCACGCAATAGCATGAAGAACCCTTAAACATAGCATTGAGTGCAAGCAAGTTGCAACCTACTTCATTTTTCTAAAATTCAAATGTAAACAATATATTTTGTGATAAGCATATGTGAGGAAACTTCTTTTTTTTAAAAAAGGATCTATAAGCGCTTATCTCAAAATATTAGGAGAGGGGCAGGAGGAATATAAAAGATAGGAAGAAACGAGAATACAAAAGACCGATTATACTAGTCAGGTTCTGTTTCTTAAATACTGTGGCTGGTTCATTGGTATTCATTAAGTTTTCCATAACTCAGGATTATGTTACATACATGATTTTGATGATAATATTATATAATTATTGTGTGGTTAAAACATTAAATATTTTATTTCTTTATGTTCATGTGAGTTGGACATGCATCTGCACTTTCTCTCATCCTGCTTTCCCTAAGGCAGTCAATAACATAACTGCCAAGATTTCCACCGTGGTTTTGACCAATGATGTGGTCTCTGCTAATGAGACCTGAGGGAGAATAATTCATAAAGATTGGCAGAGATGGTAATTTTTTGTAAATGTGAACTGAGATTTATAAGTCCTTTAAAACTATTATTTCAGCAGTAAGGAAGTGTTACATAATCATTAAGAACATGGTCAAATAAATTTTATGGGATTTCTAGCTCTGTAATTTACTAGCTGAATGTCCTAGTGTATTAGTCAGGGTTCTCTAGAGGGACAGAACTTATAGGATAGATGTATATATGAAGGGGAGTTTATTAAGGAGTATTGACTCACACAATCACAAGGTGAAGTCCCACAATAGGCCATCTGCAAACTGAGCAAGGAAGCCAGTCCAAGTCTCAAAACCTCAAAAGTAGGAAAGCTGACAGTGCAGCCTTTAGTCTGGTCTGTGGCCGAAGGCCTGAAAGCCCCTGGCAAATCACTGGTGTAAGTACACGAGTCGAAAAGCTGAAGAACTTGGAGTCTGATGTTTGAGATCAGGAAGCGTCCAGCACAGGAGAAAGATGAAACTGAAAGACTAAGCAAGTGTAGTTCTTCCAGCTTCTTCCGCCTACTTCACTCTAGCCTAGCCATGCTGGTAGCTCATTAGTTGATGTCCACCTAGATTGAGGGTGGGTCTGCCTCTCCCAGTCCACTCACTCAAATGTTAATCTCCTTTGGCAACACCCTCACAGACACACCCAGGAACAATACTTTGCATCCTTCAATCCAGTCAAGTTGACACTCAGTATTAACCATCACACCTAGGGAGTGTTATTTATTTCCTAATTCTCGGTTATCTCCTGTTCACAATAGCTTCTACATCATAAGGCTACTTTTAGAACTAAAAGAGGTAATACGTATATAGCACTGAACACAGTCCCTGGCACATATTTATGCTCATTATATGTTACGAATCATTATCATCGTTCCATGCACTTATCTGTCATATAAGAGGTAGATGCTTACTCTTCTATTTTCCTGAATTGCTAAGGAGAAGGGATGTACAGCCACAGTGCAAGCAAGTTGCAACCCACCTCACTTTTACAAAATTCAAATGTAAAGAATATATATTTTATGATAAGCATATGTGACCTGAAATGTTTTCATTTTTCTTTGCAATTAATACTACTTGACAAAGTTGAAATGTTGATACTACTCTAACAATATGTTAACTTAGATGACTGAAAAGAGCACAGAGACTCAGATGTTAAACTGTGATTGACAGTCAACTGACAACAGGAAGTGCCTAATAAGCCTATGGTACTAGTGACAACATGGCAGGGTACCATCGGGGAAACATCTGGGGCATCAAGAAAGAGAGCTGAAACAGGCTTATTTTTATTTCTAAGATCAGAAAGCCTGAAGCTGAATCACATTTGTTAGGCATTGATTCATTCTTGGTAGTGAGCTGTCAGCAATGGGCAACATCCCAGGAAAGAAAACCTCTGTGGCAATAACAGAGAGATAAAGAAAGGAAATATTAACAGGACATTATCCTCAGTGCTCTCAAAAAATCAAAATCCTGAGAGGTGAGGAATTACGGAACAGTTGAGCTTACATACTCTAGTGTAAGCTGGACCTGAGTTTGACACATTACTGCGTGACGCAGGGCAAATTTAATTTCTCTAAGTTTACATTATGTCATTTACTAAATGAGGAAAATGCTCACAGTTTTGAGTTGTCAAGAGGAAGAATTCGTATAAAATGCTTAACATTGTCATTAGCAAAAGGGAGGGTTCAGTTATTTAATTTTCATTATTGCCATCACTTACCATCATCATCATCATCATAATCATGATTAACTGACATCCGTAGAATTTTACAAGTATAGAGAGCAGGCAAAATGAAATTTGTTATCCAGCAACGATCCTTATTATTTAACAAATTGAGAGAATAAATAGATATTGTCTAAAATGTCATACAAACATACATATATGGGCATTGTCATAACCTGCATATATTACATTTCCTAAAATAAGAAAGACTGGATGTTGTCAGCATGGGCTTATGTCACATTCTGGTTCCTTTCTCCAGAGCAGGTGTGTGTGTGTGTGTGTGTGTGTGTGTGTGTGTGTGTGTGTGTGTGTGTGTGTGTGTGTGTGTGTATATATATCTCTCCATCATATATATGAAATTTGATAATTATGAGAAAGTAAAATACAGTATTCTATAAATATTGACACATAAAATAGATTTTATAGTCCTCTGTACCATTAAAAAAAAGTCCAACAAGCTCAAAACATTATTTGTTATGTTGAAAAATTCCACTAGACATTCTTTTTTTTTTTTTTTTTTCTTTTGAGATTGAGTTTCACTCTTGTTGCCCAGGCTGGAGTGCAGTGGTGCAATCTTGGCTTACTACATCCTCTGCCTCCTGGGTTCGAGCGATTCTCCTGCCTCAGCCTCCCGAGTAGCTGGGATTACAGGTGCCCACTGCCACGTCCAGCTAATTTTTAAAATATTTTTAATAGATACTGGGTTTCACCATCTTGGCCAGCTGGGCAGGCTGGTCTCGATCTCCTGACCTCAGGTGATCTGCCTGCCTTGGTCTCCCAGAGTGCTGGGATTAGAAGCATGAGCCACCATGCCTGGTCTAGACATTCTTATACTTCCAAAATACTATTGAGGTGTTTTTGCTACAGAAAATAACTTATCTAAAAATTATTTTTAAAAATTATATTCTACATACTGATTTATTTTATCTTCACCTCGATAAGATCACCTTTTTCATTGTCACAAAAAGGACTACAATTAGAGATCTTAGTTAATCACATATGTTTTCTCATAGTGCTTATTTGTCATGGACCAAATAAATTATTACTCATGGACAGGAAATCAGAAACTTATGTTGGGTTTCCCCTCAATGGGCAATATATTTGACATGAAGAATTGAATAAAAAAGCAATAAAGTGGAAGAATGTATGAAAGTTCTCAGAAACAACAACAACATTCCACAGTGGTGGGATATGTCAACAGGAGCCAATTGAAAGAGCTCACAATGGCAGAAGCTAGAACAATGAGAAACAAAAGAAAGTAATATTGAATTATAACACAAAATATAAAATATCTATGAATCATACTGAAGTATATATATCTCAGTATATAAAGAAATATATTCCTTCTCTCTCTTCCTTATATATATATATCAGTATCAATTCATAGATACTTATTTTATATTTTGTGTAATATTGGATTATATATAAGATATATTCAATGTTGAATATGTACATATGTATTCAATAATGTAAGTCTATATACATATATGACTGAAACATACATGTATGTATACATACATATATGATTGAAATAGACATGTGTGTGTGTATATATACATATATGATTGAAAGAATTACTAAAAGGAGAGAATAGACAAATTTCCCATTCAGAGTTCCAAATAATTTTTGAAGATACTCCGCCCTCATGGAGACAAAAACCAAACCACCCACTGCTTAAGTGTGGCATGTACTTAGAGATTTCCTTCCAAAGAATCAGCACGGAAAAAGGGAAAAGGAATAATTTTATAGAGGGGAAGCCTGGCAAACACAATCTCGACTAAGGGATAAAAATCAACATCAACATGTCATGGTGATAATATGAATCCTGGATAAGCTGTGTTTGAAATGGCACTTTACCTCTGTGATCTTTCTCTCTCAAACCAATATCCCCAGTAAGATAATGGGGGAAAAAAATCAGACCATTGCCAATTGAGGGACATTTTGCAAAATAACTGACCAAAACTGCAAATAAAAGGGAAGTATGAGAAACTGTCACAACCAAGAGAAGCTGAAAAAGACATGACAACAATGTAATATGGTCTTCTGGATGGGATTTGAACAGACCAGAAAAAATACATTAGGTCAAAACTTAGGAAATCTGAATAAATTGTATACTTTAGTTAATAACAATATATAAAATTGGTTGATTATTGTGACAAGTCTGCCATATTTATGTAAGATAAGGGAATCTGGATGTGGGTATATGGGGACTTTCTTTACTAGCTTCTCAATTTCTCTTACAGTCTCAAACCATTCTAAAATGAAAAGTTTATTTTTTATTATTTTTTGATGTCCCAATATCTTTTTATTATTATTATTATATTTTAAGTTCTGGGGCACTAGTTCAGAACGTGCAGATTTGTTACATAGGTATACACGTGCCATGGTGGTTTGCTGCACCCATCAACCCATCATCTACATTAGGTATTTCTCCTAATGCTATGCCTCCCCTAGGCCCCCACCCCCCAACAGGCCCAGGTATGTAATGTTCCCCTCTCTGTGTCCATGTGTTCTCATTGCTCAACTCCCACTTATGAGTGAGAACAGGCAGTGTTTGGTTTTCTGTTCTTGTGTTAGTTTGCTGAGAATGATGGTTTCCAGCTTCATTCATGTCCCTGCAAAGGACATGAACTCATCCTTTTTTATGGCTGCGTGGTATTCCTTGGTGTTTATGTGCCACATTTTCTTAATCCAGTCTATCATTGATGGGCATTTGGGTTGGTTCGAAGTCTTTGCTATTGTGAATAGTGCTGCAATAAACATACATGTGCATATGTCTTTTTAGTACAATGATTTATAATCCTCTGGGTATATACCCAGTAATGGGATTGCTGGGTCAAGTGGTATTTCTAGTTCTAGATCCTTGAGGAATCACCACACTGTCTTCCACAATGGTTGAACTAATTTACACTCCCAACAACAGTGTAAAAGCATTTCTATCTCTCCACATCCTCTCCAGCATCTGTCGTTTCCTGACTTTTTAATGATCGTCATTCTAACTGGCCTGAGATGGTATCTAATAGTGGTTTTGATTTGCATTTCTCTAATGTAATGATGAGCTTTTCTTCGTATGTTTGTTGGCCACATAAATATCTTCTCTTGACAAGTATCTGTTCATATCCTTCGCCCACTTTTTGATGGGGTTGTTTGCTTTTTTTCTCGTAAATTTGTTAAGTTCTTTGTAAATTCTGGATATTAGCCCTTTGTCAGAAGGATAGATTGCAAAAATTTTCTTTCATTCTGTAGGTTGCCTGTTCACTCTAATGACAGTTTCTTTTGCTCTGCAGAAGCTCTTTAGTTTAATTAGATCCCGTTTGTCAATTTTGGCTTTTGTTGCCATTGCTTTTGGTGTTTTAGTCATGAAGTCTTTGCCCATACCTATGTCCTGAATGGTATCACCTAGGTTTTCTTGAAGGATTTTTATGGTTTTAGGTCTTACATTTAAGTCTTTAATCCATCGTGAGTTAATTTTTGTATAAGGTGTAAGGAAGGGGTCCAGTTTCAGTTTTCTGCATATGGCTAGCCAGTTTTCCCAACACATTTTTTAAAATAGGGAATCCTTTCCCCATTGCTTGTTTTTGTCAGGTTTGTCAAAGATCAAATGGTTTTAGATGTGCAGTGTTGTTTCTGAGGCCTCTGTTCCGTTCCATTGGTCTATATATCTGTGTTGGTACCAGTACCATGCTGTTTTTGTTACTGTAGCCTTGTAGTATAGTTTAAAGTCAGGTAGCCTTGAGGCCTCCAGCTTTGTTCTTTTTGCTTAGGATTGCCTTGGCTATGTGGGCTCTTTTTTGGTTCCATATGAAGTTTAAAGTAGTTTTTTCTAATTCTGTGAAGAAAGTCAATGGTAGCCTGATGGGGACAGCATTGAATCTATAAATAAGTTTGGGCAGTATGGCCATTTTCACGATATTGATTCTTCCTATCCATGAGCATGAAATGAAGCAATATAACTCCTAAATATATTGCATGAGCATTAAGTGCTCTATTTGGAGGAAGAATAGAATCTTTTCAGCTGGGAGTCTCAGCAAATGTTTCCAGGAAAGATTGAGGACTGAGATCAACACTGAAATATAAAAATTAACCACTCCACAGGAATTTTTCATTTAGTAGGAAAATTCCAGAACATGAAAATGCCTTTACATCAAAAAGGTCCACTTTTAAATTTTACAGTGGCATCTCCAATATGAACAAAGAATATCAGTGTCATTTTCTTCCCCAACTATGTATCAAGACACTCTTATAACACCCTAAAAAAGCACATGTTCTTATTTGTCATTACTATCATTTAAATAAATCTGATTATTATTTTGAGCAAATAATAGGTGGACAACTTGGACTACCACATCATGAAAGATTTTTAAATTTGTTATCTGCTCTCTTGCTAAACCTTAAGAAACTTTAGAAAAAAAAGTTTGCGTTCAGATAGTAATTCAATAATGTATTAATTTATTAGACAAATGTTTGTTGAGCACCCACTAAATGGCAGACAGGATTTCAGACACAGAAAGCACAATAATACCTAAAGCACTGCAGTCTCTCACAAGCTGATGCCTCTGTGTTCATGGCAAGGATACTGCAGGAAGGATGTAGTGAGTTGTGGGCAAAGAAAAAAAATCAGATCCTTTTTGATTTCTATTTAGGTTGAATTTGATTGTCTCCAATTCAATGATAATATGGTAACATATGTTCTGATAATAAAATTAGCACCATTCTATCCATTCCTTCACATTAAGCTAACCAACATCACATTGTCTTTATCTATCTATATATGTGTGTATATATTAACATAAGCATATTTATATATTTTGTCATATATTTGGCTAGAGCAAATAATATATAGTTTTTAAAAAATTATCTGGCTTTGCATAGTTTAATCATTTGGGGCTAAGGATCAAGAGAGAGAGTGAGAGATAGCATTTCTCTTTGTTTTCTGATGTTTGTGCAGCTGTTGCCACTGCCTTGCCAGGGTTTTTTTTTTCCAAAAGGGAGCTACTGGTATCCTTAATGCCAGCTGGTGGCATTCTTTTATTAAGCAAGATGAAAATAAAATTATCTCTTCCTGCTGTTGCTATAGTGACTGCTGTACTTACCATCTCCCGTTCCCACCTAGTAGGTGGTATATAGGTTTTTCTGGAGCCAAATATATTGCTCATGGTGGCATAGTTCACATTTCAACCTGGTGCTTCATTTGTCCACAGACTGTTCCTTGTTTATGATGCAAATGATCTTTCTCGTCCTCACTTTCTAAGAAGCAAGGTTTAAGTTCAATACTATTAATCTCTGTTAAATGTAAAGGCTTATAAAGACACCAGAGTCCTAAATGTGATGTGAATAGTTCTGGATAACCAAAACCTAAATAAACAACTGGAGAGTTTCAAATTTTATAGGTTTTTTTTTCACAAGCTATTTTTGTTTACCACCTGCAAAAATCTAACTACAACTGAAAAAAAAAAATTCCCAGTATATTATGACAGGTACCAGCAGCAAAAAAAAAAAAAACCAAAAAACAAAAAACAAAAACAAAAACAAAAAAAACAAAACCAAGCAAAACAAACAAACAAAAAAACCATGAATTCACAGCAGTTAGATCAATAAATTTTGAGAACTAAATATTTATAAACAGACAAAAATAGGGAAATGACTTTTGGTTAGCTGTTCCTTGGAAAGTTTTTTCACCTTACTAATAAAATATCAATGATTATGCAGAAAAACAAGTGCTAGCTATGATAATTTTGAAATCCAAAGTCAAATTGGAGAGGATTTATATAAAATGTAAGTTACGTGGTTTTGGATTTAGAAACATCTAAATTTTACCTTATGAAGAAGATTAGCTCTGCTTACTGAAAAAACATAGGAAGACATATTGTCCTTCCTCATGGCATACCATCACCATCAGTGCTACTGCCCAAAGTCACCAGAGTATTTTTCTTGACATGCCCCAAGCATTTACAATAATTTGTAGTTAGCACTTCCTATAAATATATAAGGCAGAAATCAGGTAGGCCTAGAAAAGGCACATCGCATTTGAATTATATAACCCCAGTGGATAAAGTGCTAAAGGTAGGGCATAAGGATATTAAGAACCTTGGTAGCATCAGATAATAGAATTGTGATTTTTGCTGCTCCCCATCAGTTCAGTGTCAGTACTAGGCATCCAAGAGGGGACAATGTCTCACCTTAGTCCAGCAGAGCTGTCCTAGATAAATGTCTGCTAGACCTGGGAATTTGAAAAGGGCTAGTCAATATTGACATTCCCTATAGTTAGTTACCATAGAAGAAGACTTGATCTGTACAGTAAGTGAAATGAAAACTTCTCATACCCTATCTGGTGGCAAATGTCAAATGAAGAGATATCTCCTCAAGAGACAGTTAAGAGGTTTCAGTTCAAGATGGCTGGCTAGACCCAGATAGTGCCATGCCTTTCTCATGGAAAGGAAACAAAATAACAAGTGAATACTAACACTTCAAGTGGATTATCTAAGAGATCACTTTGTGATTCACCAGGGAAGTGACAGGACCCACATAGAGCAGAGAGGAATGAAGCCATGAAGCTGAACATTAACCCACCCAGAACTGGTATGGAGCCGAGGAAAGCTCCCTAAGTTGGGAAAGTGAGTGGGGGAAGAGTGAGTGAGTAAGAGTCTCCCCTGGGGATCACACTTCTGCCATGGACTTTTGTAGTTCAGCTCTTGACTCCCTCGGGCTTCCAGAACAGCAGAGAGCTATGTGGAGTCTGTGCAGAGGCACTGCTCAAGCCCACATGGAACCAACCCCACAAGCTTTTGGTTTTCTAGCAGCCCGGTTCCAGCAGCCACTGCCCCACTGAGAAAGGAGACACAGCATTTTTCCGTGTCCCTAGAATAGATGGCGCATCCATAGTACTAAGAAGCAGCTAGACTCCATACTGCGTAAGTCCTTGCCTCTGCAGCTCCTTAGTAGGTGGGACTCACTGGCTTGGGTCCCCAGCACAGCCTCCCTGAATTTCCTGAACACTGCAGTCATGGCTCTGTTTCTCTGAGTGCATAACTCCCAGAGGTAGCTAACAGGCCCTTCACTATCACTGCTGCCTTCACTCCTCCTGTCCCCAAGCCAGGGAGGGAACAAGGAGGTGGGGCACATTTGTGGACCTCCAGTATGGATGTCATAGCTGACATATGGAGGAATAGTGGTAGGCTTGTGCCCCACAAGTCCCTGCCTTCACTGCTCTCTGCCAAACAGGGCTTGCTGCCTTTCGGCCCATAACACACTTACTCATCCCCTGGCTGATCACTGCGGTCATGGCTCTGTGTTCTGAGTACATACCTTCCAGAAGTAGCTGATAGGCCCTCTGTGATCACAGCTGCTGCTGTCTCTGCACATGCTGCTCCCAGATTGAGAGAGACTGAAGAGATGGGTCACTTTCATGTACCTCCAGCATGGGACTCCATAGCTGAGATACAGAGGAGTAGCAGGCACGTGATGTACCCCACAACTTCCCACCTCTGTTGTTCCCTGCCAAACAGAACTCACTGACTTCCAATCTCCAATGCAGCCTTTCCACCCCTGCCTGATCCCTACAATCATGGGTTATTCCTCTAAGAGCCCAGTTTCCTGAGGCCAGCAACAAATATTCACAATTGTTGCTTCCATTGATTCTGCCCCTACCACCCCCAGGCCAGTTCAGGAGCAAGAAGGCTTCTCACCTTTGCATGCTTCAAACAATGAAATTTAGAACTCCTTGTGTGGGAGGGAGGTTCAAGCACACAACATGCCCCATAGCTGTCAGCTGCCACTGTCCCAGCTGAGGGTTCCTGCTCTTCCAATGAAGGGCCCACGTCACAGCTGCCCTGCCCCAGCCTGAATATTTAAGCTTTGACCCAGAGCCCTGTTAAAAACATAAACCCCACAGGCCTCTGATATTCCCTTGGGATCCCACCACCTAAGCATTCTGCCTGCCCTGACCTGAAAGTTCTGCCAGTGACCCGGGTACCAGCCCATCCCTCCCCATCATAGCGAGCATCTGAACTAGACTAGACCAAGTGGAAGAAAGAACTTCAATGCGTAAAAACTGTTCTTTTGAACTAGCCCAGTCAGTTGCAAATAAAGAAAAAAATTTAAAAAACAAAACCTTTGAGAAATAAGAGATTATGTAATGTAACTAAACCTACAAGTTATTGGAATTCCTAAGAGAGAAAAAGAAAAAGTAAACAACCTGGAAAACATTTGAGAGGATAAATAATTAAAAAATATTGCTAGAGGTAGATATTCGGATATGAGGAAACCAGAGAACACCTATGAGATAATATACAAGATAAACATTACTGAGGCATTTGGTTACTAGACTATCCAAGGTTGGTGCTAAAGAAAAAATGTTAAAGGCGGCTAGAGAAAAGGTTCAAATCATCTACAAAGGAAAACCAATCAGACTAACAGTGGACTTCTCAGCAGAGACCTTACAAGCCAAAAGAGGTTGGTGTTGTATTTTTAGCCTCCTTTAAAAAAAAAATGTCAGCTAAGAATTTTATATTACTACAAACTAAGCTTCATAAATGAAGGAGAAATACTCTTTCCCAGACAAGCAATTACTGAGACAATTTGTCACCACTAGACCAGTCCTACAAGAAATGCTCAAAGGAATTCTAAATGTGGAAACTAAAGGATGATACTTGGCATCAGAAAATGACAGATATATACAGAACTCACAGACCCTATAAAGCAACTGCGTAATTAAAACTCCAAAACAACTAGCTAACAACACTATGTCAGGAATAAAAACTTACATATCAATATTAATCTTGAATCTAAATGACCTACATACCCCACTTAAAACATGTAGTGGCAAATTGGATAAATAAATAAGATCTAATGATCTGCTGTCTTCAGGAGACCTATCTCACATGTAATGACATCCATAGGCTCAAAGTAAATGGTTGGAGAAATATCTGTCACACAAATTGAAAACAAGAAAAAGCAGGTTGAACAACAGCATCAAGTCAGAAATCAAAATAAAAAGTTTAATGAAAATAGCAACATAACATACAAAACCTCCTGAATACAGTGAAGGCATTGCTAAGAGGAAATTTTATAGCATTAAATGCCTACATAAAAAATAGAAAAATCTTCAGCTGGAAATGTAATGCTGCATCTCAAAGAATAAGAAAAACAAGAACAAATCAAACCTAAATGTAGCAGAAGAAAAAATACTAGAGCAGAACTAAATGAGTTTGAGGCCAAAAAATGATACAAAGGATCAATGAAATAAAAGGTTGGTTCTTTGAAAGGATAAAGGAAATTGATAGAATGCTAGCTAGCCTAAGGAAAAAAAAGAGAGAAGATTCAAATAAGTACAATTGGAAATGATTAAGGTGACATCACAACTGATACCAGAAAAACAAAAAAAGATCATCAGAGACTAGTATGATCACCTTGATGTACACAAACTAGAAAACCTGAAGACGTAAGATAAATAGCATAGTTCCTGCTTCAATAAGCTCACTTATTCATTCACTCAATCACTGCTTCTTTCAACAAATATAAATTAAATGCCTATTATATTCTAGACACAGGCACTGATGATACAGCAGTGAGAAACAATGAATTTGCCTTTTGAAGAACACTAATTGTTTTCATTCATTTTGTTATTTAAAGAATATTCCTAGAAATTATGTATTTTCATTGTGTGGTGACTACCGTGATTTTTTTTTCATTTTACAATTTCTGCTTTATGAAATCTTACTACTTTTTATCTTTATTCTAATGATTCTCTGAGTTTAGCAGATATAGAAACATAACATTCCCAAGTAATGTTAAATTTATATCTCTTTTAAACAATTTTATATCCTGTATTTTTCTCATTTCACCTATTCTACTGAATTACTTAGAATTTCAAGATCAACGTAAAGTTGCTTCTTTAGTGGAAATGCCTCTAATGTTTCTCTATTAAGTATAATATTTGTTTCAAGTTAGATAGAATTAATGAAACTAAGCTGTTGAGATCTTAATTTGGTTCTCAGCTTGAACATTATTAGCGTATGGAAGTGCTACTGACTTTTGTATGTTGATTTTTGTATCCTGAGACTTTACTGAAGTCACTAATCAGGTCTAGGAATCTTCTAGAAGAGTCTTTAGGGTTTTCTAGGTAAACAATCATATCTTCAGTGAACAGAGATAATTTGACATCCTTTTTCCCAATTTGGATGCCTTTTATTTCTTTCTCTTACGTGATAGCTCTGTTTGGGACTTCCAGTATTATATTGAATAGAATTAGTTAAAGTAGCCATCCTTGTCTTTTCCCAGTTCTTAGTGAAAATGGTTTCAACTTTTCCCTGTTCAATCTGATGTTGCCTGTAGTTTGTCATGCATGGCTCTTATTATTTTGAAGTATGTTCCATCTATGCTAGTTTGTTGAGGGTATTTATTATGAAGAGATGTTGGATTTTATCCAGTACTGTTTTTTGCATCTATTGAGATGATCATATAGTTTTCATTCTTATATCTGTTTATGTGGTGGATCATGTTTATTGATTTATGTATATTGAGCCATCCTTGCATCCCTTGAGCGAAGCACATTTGATCATGGCAAATTATCTTTATGATGTATTGTTGGATTCAGTTTGCTAGTGTTTTGTTGAGGAGTTTTGCATTGATGTTAATCAGAAATATTGACCTATAATTCCTTTTTTATTGTC